>NW_025791777.1:704908-860094 GCF_000001405.40 Homo sapiens
ACTTTATCTCTAGAAATTAATTCTTACTAATGGATGTCTGTCACTGTAAGATCCTTCTCTCCTCTGAAATAAGGAGAACATTTTAACTTCAGTAGTTTAAACTAGTGTCCTAAACTATAGCATTCAAAATGAGATAATATGCTAAAGTAATACACAAACCAAAAATCCCAGTGGCTAACACAAAAAGTTTTTCTTACTCATTTTACATATCCAGGGTAAGTCAGTAATAGATGCAGACACACCCAGAGACCAAGGATGAGTTGTGATCTGTCTGCACACATAGTTCACAATGCCTGAGTGAGTTGTGCTTTGGCCTTTAAACTTCCACTCATGTTTAATTAATAAAGATTTTGCTCAAATGCCATTTGATGATGAGTTTCATGACGATGATCAACTTTAAAAGAACTTGGAAGTACAATCCTCAAGCGTTTCTGGAAATAGCAGAACTACAATATTTGAGAAAAATATTTTTTAATGTATAAAAAATTGGCAGGGTAGGCTAGCAAGCAAGAGACCTAGAGAAAAGTTGATGTTACAGTCTCAAGACGAAAGGCAATCTGCAGGCAGAATTATTTCCTTCAGGGTTCTCAGTCTTTTAATATAATCAATTGACTGGATGAGCCCTACAATATTTTGGAAAATAATCTGCTTTTCTCAGAAATTACTGATTTTCATGTTAATCTCATCTAACAATACTTTCAGAGCAACATCTATACTGGTATTTGAATATATAACTCTTTTATCTTTTAAAATATCAAATAATACAGTTATATATATATACACACATATGTATATATGTCACCTAAATTGTAGATATCAGAAATCAGAATGCTGTGATATGAATATTTAGTATATTTTAATCATGATAAATTATACATCCTTCTACCTTATGATAATGGATTTTAAGATCTATGCTGTTAAACTCTATATTTACCCTTTAATTCATATCTTGCTTATTTTACATTTATCTGAGAATACATTGGGTCTACTAAATCTTTACTATCATTCACAAGTCTTACATCTTAAGATAACTTCTCAATAAAATAAAAATTCTTCATTGCACCTAGAAAGGAGCAGGGTTTTGAAAGCGATCAATGATTACTCTGATACCTAATATAATAATATAATATAGTAAAAATCAAAATACTTGAATGAAAAATGTAAAATTAAGTTTTGCTTTCATTGTTTTTATTCCAGTGTCTATTTTAGAATGTTTTTACTCTAATTGTGTTTTTATGCAAAACCAAGTGAGCTTTAGATAATTCCATTGACACATTACATATGAAAGTTCTCGTTAAATAGGATATAGCATATTTTACTTAAAAATCCAAATTATAAAATAAAGAGGGATTTTAAGTTGAGTCTAAAATTTTTGTTTCAATTTTGTTTTTATTTAAAGACTTGCTATAATTCTGTGAGAGAGCTATAAAAGTCTGCTCAGAAACATTATAACGTAAAATGGACAGAGAAGGACAATGAGATATTTAATTTGCCACGGCAAAGCCATTGCTGTGAAGAATGGATAATATATGTCAATGGTAATATATGAAGAAATAACACAGGTGAATAGCAGAGGCAATAAATCTGTTTTTACCACAGGACTTGTCTTACACTTTTCTCTTAGTAATAAGTAAAATAATTTTCGACCAGATGGAGCTGGCTTGAAATCCTCTTGTTTATGGCAGTACATATCGTTTATGATTCAAAAAATATAGCCCATTTCCAAAAACCTGCAACAAAGAGATACTTTCTCAGGTGAGTGTTCAGATCATTATTCATTACAAAGTGTCAGTTTTGTCTTTATTGATCCTCATTATTGTAAGAAAGTATGTGGTCCTGTCTCCATTCTATTAAAACAACATTGTAGAGATTAGCACTGAGTCTTTCCAGCCATGTGCATCTGTTCATTTCCGTCTCCAGCTTGAGTTTTTCTGTGTATTACAAAATAAGAAAACAAAAATGACACAATAATCTATTTTGTCTGGTTTTGCTCTTTATTAGTAGAAATAGACAAGTGAGGAGTTGGAGGAAGAAATTGCTTCTGATCTGTTTTAGATACAGGTGAAACTCTCCCTCCCTCCCCGCCCCACCCAGTCTTTCTCTGTCTCCCTCCCTGAGCCTATTCTTGCTTCTTCCCTTTACAAATAATTAACTGCTCAGGTCATGTTGAACCAAAAAATAGCGTCTGTAGCCCCTGTGTGCTTACTTTAAGTATATGTTACTGAAAAATGCGGAGTGAGCACTTAACAACTCATTCTCCTGGGAAGCACAGTGCTACTATACCCCAAATGCTTTTCTTTATCATTTTAATTTTTATCTTCTTTACTTACATTTCCAACATCAGTTAAGAGGGTCTTGTAGTTTTCTAACTGAAAGGAGACTGTAAAATCTCCTTGCTCAAAACTCAGATGCAGAATATTATTTTTACTACAATAAATACATCTACAACAATGGTATTATATCTGGTTTATTTCAAAGTCAAGTTCTAATACAGGTAAACAAATATACTAATAAAGAGATAATGCTTTTCTCATGAAATGTATAATCTAGTAGGAATAAAGATAAACAATTTTTTTAAAAATTCTATTTCATTAAGCAAAAATGCAACTCAGAAGAATAATGTATATTAGCAGTCATTTACTATTTTTCAATTAAATTCCGATATATATGTAAAGTAAATTATTACTAATATCAAACATAGTTTAAAGAATTAGTGACTATGTGCACTTGGATCTCCATATGTAATGTACTATCAGCATCTTCACAAACACAGTAAATTTTAATATGCAAGTAAAACTTATTTTACTAAACGATGATTACTCCTTCTATATTCATATTCCTAAACACATACAGTTTCTTAATGTAATTAAGTTTTTAACTAAAAAAAGGGAAATGCATTATTGAGGCGATAGGATTACTGGGTGGCTATAAACACATCTGCTGCACAGCTGACATTTATCTTCTACAATGAGCAATGACAATTTTATTTTTTAATAATCAGTATGGACTAATCCTGATGATTTTTTTTAACATTTTCAAATAGGGCTGCATGTGGCTTAAAATTAATATATACATGTGTACCTATATAATATTCTTATTTATTAATGGACTTCCTACATAGCTCATATTGACGTTAGATTTAAATGAAATTCCAGAAGGGTTTTCTATAGGTAAGTCATACATTGGATTTCCATATTACCTATGATTATTGAAGTATTTATTTCTGCTTTTAAGACTTCAGAGCAATTTTGCTGGTCATTTGTTTTCTGTGTTTTTATTTTGAAATTGTTCTTTGAGGCATTGTCCTATTACATTTTTAAGGTATGTTAATAAAATAATATTTTTAATGAAATTTTGCCTGCTGCTTTCCAGGTGAACTCTTGTTTAAAGTATTAATTCACCAAAAATTACTTATATTCAGAAAATGAACTAAAAAAAATAATATGACGTGTTCAAGAAAGTCGAACAAAAGTTACGTGATGTTTGCAACATACACAACTCCATACCCTTCTCAAATAGTAAAGAGAATAGTAAATAGAATAGGTAGTAAGCAGAGTAGGAATTGTGGAATATGGAACTCTCAGTCACTCAATTGACTTTATTTTTTAGTAATATGGGATTTGAATTATTCAAGCTGAAGCCATTAAATATTCATAGTGCTTCGTATTATAAAGTTATTGATTAATGTCTTTGGTAAAGAACACTATTATTTCTGATTACATCAAGGTCATCCCGAGGAACAGGACCAAAGCATAAAGTTTTATATATGAAATATGAGAAGTTAATACATAATTCATATTTAACAGCTAACATAAATGTTAACCCCTTGGAGAATCTGAAGCTAATGCCCATGTTCTTCTGACAATTCTTTATACTGGCAATTTGGAAAATGCCAGTGTTTTATCGCTACCTATTCTTGTATTATGACATGAATTAATACATATCTGCCTCACTATTCCTGTGGGCAAAAAAAGACTGTGAATTATGTGCCAGAGAGAGATTTTACAAAATTAAATGAGGCAAAGTACTTTTCCTCTGTATACTCATTAGAAATATGCTGAGTAGTTCCTTTCAGTTCCTTTCACTTTCCGATAAAATATAATCAGTTCAGCCATATAACAGATATCTTTTAAACTTTTAATGTCCTCTGTTAGAATGAATATGATATTTGGGACCAATTCACATTTTGGAATAATGTACATACTAAGCATAAGTGAAGAATTTAAACATTAACTTGATTTAGGACTGGACTCTTAAGAGGTTTTAAAAAGTTGAAAAACGGAATTCCAACAAATTTAAATGGCTTGTTTAGGGTTTCCACAGGCAATACGGGTGGGTGCAATGGAAAGAGAATTCCTTTAATCTAAACGTGGGCTTTATTCTGGCTCTGCCACATATTGACTGTTTCATACAAATGTAACTTAAACTGCAGGTGTCATGATTTTTCACACATATACAAATAAAACAATGTTGATTATATAGGATTTGTTGAGAAAATGCAATTATGCCAAGTACAAGTATTTGGCATATTATCTCACTTTATAAATATTAGCAATTCTTTTTGTGGAGGGAATAAATCTAACATGCTGGCTTTTAGAATTTCTTCTTATTTTTCTTTCAACTTTAGTGCCATGTAACATCTTTAAGTCAATAAATCTGACAATTAGACTGTGGGTAATTTTCTTCCAAATCCATATCTTGTTTTCTCTATCCATAGTAGCATTTTAAAACAACAGAAGGGAACTTTAATTACAGTAGGTTGGGAGCCATTTTCTCCCTTTGGTCATATTTTCATTGAAATTCCTACATTGTTTAATATTAGGACTTAGTTTGAATATCACATCAACAAGGTTGCTCAATAGAAATATTATGGAATCATTTTTCTGTCATGCCACAGAACTTATTAACTGTATGTTCAAAATGCAGCTCAATTCTGATCATTTTTGCTACTTTCACCACTAGCATCCTGGTGCTAACCACCATCATTTATTGCCCAGGTTATTGAAATGGCCAGCAAACAGGTGTTTCTGATTCTGCGTAAGGCACCCTTCAGTACATCCTCAAAAGAGCAATTTGTATAATCACTTTAAAACATGTATCAGGTTATTACCTTTTTCTGTGTAAAACTCTGATCTCTCGTTTCATTCATTGTAAAAGTCAGAGTCTTGCACAATGCTTTATAGATGCTCCACCACATGAAGCCCCCAATTCTTCTATGGACTTCCCTCCTTCCACTATGTAATTTTCTCACTCAGCTTCACGTACAGTATTTTCTTGGTTATTACTAAACATGCAACAGATACGGTTTGTTCTATATCTTCCTCATGCTTTTGGTCAGATGCCATTATCCCAGTGAGGTTTTCCATAGCCACTTTATTCAAATTCCAAACAATCTGTCCCCTTAGACATTCTCCATTCTTAATTTTTTGCCATTGTACTTACTACAGTCTAACACACTATACATGTTACATTTTTGCTTATTGTTTATTGTATAGTCCCTAGAATATTAGTTCCCTGAGGACAGAGATTTCTGTAAGCTTTTCCAAAGATGTATCCCCAAAGCCCGGAATGCTACCTGGCAACAAATACTTGTTATAATGAATTAGAAGTGGGTAGATTCACACATCAGAGACAGCGTAGTGTATATAATGATTTTTTAAAGCATTAGAGTCATAGATATTAGGATTTGTATTATGTCTTCACCATTTACAATTATGCTACCCTCAACAAGTTGTTTAATCTTTCCATTCCTCAGTTTCCTCATGACTCATATATTGGAAATATTGTCTACCTTAGAGCTCTTCCAAGAGTAATATTGAGACAATGTTTCAACAATGTTTAGCACATTGCTGAATATTAATACATTATTTCTATTAATGTAAGAAATTTCATAGACTTGCTAGAAATAACGAGGATGGAATATAGATGAAGATCATAAAACATGATGGAAATAAATGTTGGAAAATGTGGGTGGTATCCTTAGCACACTCTCTAACGTAAGGAGTAAAATCTGTGTCATATGACTTTATCTTTCTTCTGGAAACTAACGGAATTTAGTAACACACTTTTCTTGACCTGAGGATTTGCCCTTACCACAAAATTGTTTTTGAAACTTGAGTGTTTACAATGGCTTTTTACCAGTTCTTTTATGTTCTACCAGTTCCTCTCCAATTTACTATGGACTGAAGTCAGACTAATTTGTTAAGAGCAAACAAAACAAAACAAAACAAAACAGTTATTACCTCATTCTAGCCTCAAAGCATCTGCCTTTTCAATGCAATCAAAATTAAATGCAATGAAAATTAAATGCAATCAAAATTAAATGCACAATTCTAATTTTGATGACTTTAGTCCCTGCTTATCTGTTATATTAGGCTGTTCTTGTATTGCTATGAAGAAATATCTGAGACTGGATATTATAAAAATGTTTAATTGACTCACAGTCCTGCAGGCTGTACAGGAAGCACAGTGGCATCTTCTTCTGGAGAGGCCTCAGGGAGCTTTTACTCATGACAGAAGGCAAAGCAGGAGCAGGCACTTCACATGGTGAAAGCAGGAACAAGAGAGAGAGAGTGTGTTGGGGTAGGTGCACTACCATGGAGACAGCACCAAGTCACGAAGGATTCGACCTCATGATCCAAACACTTCCCACCAAGCTCCACCTTCAGCACTGGGGATCTGGTTTCAACATGAGATTTGGGCGGGACATCCAAACTATATCATCTGTCTCCCTCATCCAAGACCATGTGATCCGTAGCTCACTTTTGTCTAGCAACAGATTAAATACAGCATTTTCTGTGTGATATCTTTGTTGAGGTCTTTGCAGATGGCTGTTTCTTTGTCCTGAAACTTTCTTCATCTGCTCTTTCAAAATGAGTGACTCTTCATCCTCGAAGTCTATGCTTATATATTGCTTTTCAGAGGAATCTTTTCTGAACTGGGCATTCTGCCTTCAACCAACTATTTTCTATTATAGTTTCCTGTTTGTGAGTTAATAGTCCTTTTGAAAATTTGACTACTCATTTACCTTCTTGGGTTATTTGAAATTATCTCCTCTTCACTAGATTCTATAGAAGCATAGCCATGCCTGCCCTCTTTACTGTTTCTCTACTGACTTGTTGCAATGAATATTGTCAGTAAACATGGAAATAAATCAGTTATTCAGATATCCTACCTTGGTGCTTGCTTAGATAACTCCACACTGTGATGCCTAATGACCTACACAGGGCTTTCTAGCAAGGAGTGACTTTCTTTCTGCTACGTGTAATAATGATCCGTCAACTTAAACATATAGTTATATTTCCAGCAGACGGTTTCTTGAAACTAATGTCCAGGGTGTAGTTATTCAAAAAAGCAAACTCTTCTCTTGATTTCTGCCATACATTGGTACTCTTTCTCTCTCCCTTTTTTATTTTATTATTTTTTTTTGAGACAGAGTCTCACTCTTTCACCCAGGCTGTGGTGCCATCCCAGCACACCCTGCAACCCATTGCCTCCCAGATTCAAGCGATTCTCCTGCCTCAGCCTCCCTAGTAGCTGGAATTACAGGCATGTGCCACCATGCCTGACTGATTTTTTGTATTTTTAGTGGAGACGGGATTTCACCATGTTGTTCAGGCTGGTCTCAAACTCCTGACCCCTAGTGATCCATCTGCCTCAGCCTCCTAAAGTGCTGGGATTACAGGCGTGAGCCACCCCGCTCGGCCTACTCTTTTATTTCTGTTTTGTCTTTCCTTTCTCAAGAAAGAAAACAAACCAAAACCAAAACAGTTTGGAAGACTTTATAGTATTCATCCATACAAAAGAACAAGATCATGTCCTTTGCAGGAACATGGGTGGAGCTGGAGACCATTATCCTCAGCTCCACCCATCCTCAGCTCCCACTAACGCAGGAACAGAAAAACAAATGCAGCATGTTCTTATTTATAAATGTGAGCCAAGTGATAAGAACACATGGACTCATAGAGGAGAACACCACACACTCGGACCTACCTGAGAGTAGCGGGTGGGAAAACGGAGAGGTTGAGGAAAAGTAACTAATGGGTACTAAGCTTAATACCCGGGTGACAACATAACCTGTACAACAAATCCCCATGACACGAGTTTACCTGTATAACAAACCTGCACGTGTACTGCTGAACTTAAACTAAAAGTTAACAAAAGGCCAGGTGCAGTGTTTCACACACGTAATCCCAGCACTTTGGGAGGCTGACATGGGTGGATCACCTGAGGTCAGGAGTTCAAGACCACCCCGACCAACTAAATACAAAAAGTTAGCTAGATGTGGTGGCAGGTAATCCCAGCTCCTCTGGAGGCCAAGGCAGGAGAATCGCTTGAATCCAGAAGGCAGAGGTTGCAGTGAGCCGAGATTGTGCCACTGCACTCCAGCCTGGGCAATAAGAGTGAAACTCTTGTCTCAAAAAAAAAAAAAAAAAAAAAAAAAGTTAACAAAACGTTCTTCTCTAGTTCTAAAGCACCAACACAGAGGTGATCAAAATACTCTAAGAAGCACTGGGAAACATTGAGGGGATGGTTCAAACATCAGAGCTAAGGCCTAATTTCCCAACAGTCATTATTTCTGTGGTATTTTGCATATTAGAGACGTATAGGTTCCTCACCTAATCCTTGTTTTTTCATTTTATTTTTAATACATATGAAAGTCATAATAACAAAAAAAATTCATACATCAGCAGCTCAGCTAGAAATAAAAGTCTCAATCTACTGGAAGCCCCTGTGAACTTGTATCAAATTCCTTTCTCTCTTCATAGAGGAAATAATGACTCCCAAAATGTGGTAATGAACAAATATCTCTAATTGTTTAAAATTTAGTATATGTGCAAGTCTCCACAGACACAATCATGATCATATATTTTTAGAAGTTAAAAACGTGTCTATCATCAGGGCGTGGTGGTTCATGCCTGTAATCCCAGCACTTTGGGAGGCCTAAGTGGGTGGATCACCTGAGGTCAGGCGTTCAAGACCAGCCTGGCCGACATGGTGAAACCCTGTCTCTACTAAAAATACAAAAGTTAGCCAGGCGTGGTGGAGGGTGCCTGTAATCCGAGCTACTCAGGAGGCTGAGGCAGGAGAATTGCTTGAACCCGGGAGGCGGAGGTTGCGGTGAGCCAAGACCACGCCACTGCACTCCAGCCTGGACAACAGAGCAAAAACTCCGACTCAAAAAAAAAGTGTCTATCTACCTTCTGCTTTATTTTGTTTTATATGACATTGATGATGTCCATCTATGTTGGCCCATATAATTCTTATCAATTATTTTAAATGCTGTTTAGCATTGTACTATATAAAAATATCAAAACACAGCTCCCTTTTGTTCATTATATTGCCATTTAGTTTTTTTCTCATTTTTTGCTATTTCAACAAAAAGCTGCTATGAATGTGTATGTGTGTATATATATATTAAATGTGTATATATATGAATGTATATATATATACACATATATATGTCAGAGTTTCTCTAGGCTATAAACCCAGGAACAAAATTTAAAAATCATAGGGTGTATTGGATCTTACATCACTGCAGACCCTCTCAGCATTACCTCTTGTTCCAGTCAGAGCCTTGGTTACTATTTTTATGTAGACTTTGGTCAGTTTCATAAAGATGGAAGTGATAGTATGTGGCTTCAGACCAGAGCAGAATTCACTTTCTGCTGTGGGATTTCTCAGACAATGTTGTGTGGATTGTTGTAGGCATTTTGCTTGTTACTCATAAATGCACTGTCTAGACACATCGAGAAGTTAGCATCCATGAGGCTATGCTTGAAAAATGGAACTCCTAGAGCTGATGGATACATATTTCCCCCGTTGTTTCACTTCAGTGAATGGTCATATAGTATTCCATCACCTAACTTAATAATGTGTTCTAGATTTTACTCTCTCTCCCTATAGCACCCATCCTGTTTCTTATTCTTACTCCACAATACACTCCCAACTTAAACACACAGTCTCTTCTTTAGGTGTTGGGGGTTGGGAGTTATTACAAGATGACATGGTGTATGCATTTATTTCTTTGTCTACGTTGATTGCACTGATTTACAGTCTCACCAGCAGTTCATAAAATCCTTCCTTGCAGCTAAGATATGGGCACAAGACTAAAATTTATATCTTTAGCTGATATCTCATTCCTGAACACTCATCTCATTTGCGACTGCCTTGAATATCAAATAGGCATCTCAACCTTAGTAAGTAAAAGAGAATTCTTTATCTGCATCCTGCCAATCCTGCTTCTTTCCCAGTAATTTTTCACTCAGTAATTTGAGCCATTATTAATCTATTTTCTAAAGCTTCAAAACATGGAGTCATTACCAGCTGTTTTATATACACCATTCCAAGCCATTAGAAAGTCAATTCCATTTCACCTGGAAGTTTATTGCAAATTTGACAATTGTCTCTTACATGAACTACTAAAATAGCTTCTCAGCAGCATCTGTGTGCTGCCATTATCCATCCTTCCTCCAGTCTCTTCCCCACCAGGCAATGGAAGTCATCTCTGGTAATATAATGCATTTCACATTAGTTTCATTTTTCCAGCTGAAAATCTCAAAAGTATTTCATTTACATGCCTAATAAAAGCTAAAGATATAATCTTGCTCAGAACTATAAGCTGGCTTCTCCACCTACCATTATCCTTTGCCTTGATTACTCTGCTCTATATCATCATCTTGCATACCCTAACACATGACTTTTATACTCATTGCTCCATCTGTTATAAACATACTGATAAATAATGTTTCCTCTTTAGCAGTGATTTCCTGATCTAATCAATATTTTGGTATCATATAAACTCATTGGATTATTAGTGATTATCACTAACCTGCTATCATACAATACACATTTAATTTCTTTTCTCCTTGTTTATTGTCTAAACTGCTAGGTAGAAGGGCACTTTATCTATTCTTATCACAAACGTAGGACAACGGCTAGCACAAGGTTAGGAACTTACACGCTATTCGATTAATTGTTGTTTAATAATTGATTAAAAACTCCAGAACTTTGGGTTCCATTCTTATGATGACAATAATATAATGCTAGGGATGCCAAGTGAATAGCAAGTTTAACCAAGTTATCCTGTATGGGGAGCCACAGTTACTTAAAATGTCTGACAATCCACAGTCCTGGTGATGATGTGGAATATCACTCTCTTAATCAATGCAAACAATTTATTTAATAGTCATAGTGCTAAAGATGGCATGCCCTCCAAATGAGCAATTGCACTCTTGGTTATGCATTTATATGAATATGTATATAGGAATAGTCATGATAAAACTACTAATTATTATAAAATTTTTGGAAAAAGCATAACTATTAAAAATGAAATTGGTAACTTAAGACTACTCAATACATCAGTAAAAATGAATGAACTATGCAAAAACATGGATGAATTTCAAAAACGAAATTTATTTTCATTATTTATTAAGAAAGAAAA
The DNA here is from genome assembly GCF_000001405.40 of Homo sapiens. NCBI lineage: Eukaryota > Metazoa > Chordata > Mammalia > Primates > Hominidae > Homo > Homo sapiens. Next base: position 716,352 of record NW_025791777.1, read on the forward strand.
TTTGCACTGTTTTCAAGTCTAATACCAAACAGAACTAAATGGTATTTCTGGATAAACAAATTAGAAAATAAAATTATGAAAAATGCAAGAAAAAAATTACCACAAAAGTTGGGATAGAAGTTACATTAAGAGATGGCATGGTCTTATACAAAGAAAACCCTAAAGACTCTGAAAGACTCCTAGACTTGGCAAATGACTGCAATAAAGTTTCAGAATACAAAGTCAATGTCCAATAGTCAGTAGTATTTCTATATAGCAATAATATTCAAGCTGAGAACAAAATCAAGAACTCAATCTCATTTACAATAGACACACACACACACACACACACACACACACACACACATATAACTGAGAAATACGTTTAACCAAGGAGGTAAAATATTTCTACAATAAGAACTACAAAAGATGGGTGGAAGAAACCTGAAATAAAACAAACTAATGGAAAAATATCCCATGTTCATGGATTAAAAAAAATTAAAAATGACCATGGTGTCCAAAGCAATCTAAAGATTCAGTGCAATTTCTATCAAACTACCAATGTCATTTTTCACAGAATTAGAAAACAACAATCCCAAAGTGTATATGAAATTCTGAATTGAAAAAATGACCCAGATAGCCAAAGCAATTCTAAGCAAAAAGAACAAAGCTGGAGTCAGCACTTCACCCCATTTCAAATTATACTACAAACCTATAGTAACAAGAACAGCATGGTACCAATACAAAAACAGATACATAGTTTAATAAAATTAAATAGAGAACCAAGAAATAAAGCCACATACCTACAACCAACTAATCTTCAACAAAGCGTGCACAAATAAACAATGTGGAAAGGATACCTTTTTCAATAAATTGTACTAGAAAAAATGGATATCCGTATACACAAGAGTAAAACTGGATTCCTATATCTCACCATATATAAAAATTAACTCAAGATTGATTAAATACTCAAATGTAAAAACCTATACAATTCCTAGAAGAAAACCTAGGAAAACTTTACTGAATATCAGCCTTGACAAAGAATTTATGACTAAGTCATCAGAAGCAAATGAAACAAAAATAATAATAGGCAAATGGGACCTAAGTAAACTAAAAATCTTCTGCACAGCAAAGGAAGTAATCAACAGAGTAAACAGGCAACCTACAGAACAGGAGAAAATATTCACAAATTATGCATCTAACGAAGTACTAATATCCAGAATCTACATGGAACCCAATAAATAATAAACACATTATGTCATTACAAAGTAGGCAAATGACATAAACAAACATTTATCAAAAGAAGACATGCAGGTTGCCAACAAACATTAAAAAATACTCAAGATCACTGATGATCATAGAAATGTAAATCAATATTGAAGTGTGTATTAGTCTGTTCTCATGCTGCTATGAAGAAATACCCGAGACTGGGTAATTTATAAGGAAAAGAACTTTAATGGACTAACAGTTCCGTACGGCTGGGGAACATTCAGGAAACTTACAATCATGGTGGAAGGGGAAGCAATCAAGTCCTTCTTCACATGGCAGCAGGAAGGAGAAGAATGAGAGCCGAGCAAATGTGGAATCCCCTTATAAAACCATCAGATCTTGTGAGACTCACTCACTATCACAAGAACAGCACGGAGGGTAACCGCCCTCATGATTCAATTACCTCCCACCAGGTGCCTCCCATGACACATGGGGATTATGAGAACTAAAATTCAAAATGAGATCTGGGTGGGGACACAGCCAAACCACATCAAAAAGTGATTCATTTGACATGGTCTTCCCTATCTTCTCTCATTTAGGGTAACATTATTTCCTTGAATCAAAAGGGTATCCCTGTAGACTTTGAGTTCATCTTGACATCTTTGAACCATGGATTATCAATTTGCAAATGTTATTTGTTGAATTATTGAGCTATATTCCTTGACATGCTTTTAAGAATGATATTTTCATTAAAATAAATGAGGGACTCATCCTAATATTTAGGAAGATTTCTCAACATCATCACATACAATTATGAATTATTATGGACACAACAGTGGTAGTTTGGATTTTTATTGTGGTTAAACTTTTAGAAAGTACAAAGTATTCATAAATCTACATTTTAATATTTTATAATTCAAATGAATTTTAAGTAACTATTTTGATATTCTATAAATAAAAATGTCACCTATACTATATAAGGATTCACTCACTTCTCTCTGCATTCTCATCAATACCTGATGTGTTGTGACTTTTAAAAACTAGCCATTCTGACTAGTATAAGGTGACATTTCGTTGTGGTTTTAATTTTTATTTCTCTGATGATGAGACTGAGCATTATTTCATATGTTTGCTGTCCACTTGTATGTCTTCTTTTGAGAAATGCCTGTTTATGTACTTTGTCCATTTTTTAATGGGGTTATCTATTTTGTTGTTGTTGTTGAGTTGTTTGAATTTCTTGTCGATTCTGGATATTAGTACTTAGTTGGATGCATAGTTTGCAAATATTTTCTCACATTCTTCAGGTTATCTGTTTTCTCAGTTATTTCTTTTGCTGTGCAGAAACTTTTTTGTTTAATTAAGTCCCATTTGTCTACTTTTGTTTTTGCTAAATTTGCTTTTGAGGTCTTAGTCACAAATTTTTTGCCAAGGCCAATGTCTAGAAGAGTTTTTCCAGGTATTCTATGAGTACTTTTATATCTTCAGGTATTATATTTAATTCTTTAATTCATCCTGAGTTAATTTTGTGGATGGCAACAGATAGGGGCCCAGTTTTATTCCTCTGCATGTGGCTTTCCAATTTTCCCTGCACTATTTATTGAAGGGGATATCCTTTTCCCAGTGTATGTTTTTTTCAATGTTGTCAAACATCCATTGACTGTAGGTAGGTCCCTTTATAAATATCCACTAATAAAGTGACAAAGTGCCTTTGTCACTTTATTCCTGGAATTTCTATTTTGCTCTATTGAGTATTGTGTCCATTTTTATATCACTATCATATTGTTTTTGTTACTATAGCCTTATAGTATAATTAGAAGGAATGTAAATTTGTCCCACCTCTATTAAAACAGTATGAAAATTTTTTCAAGTATTAAAGAGCCACAATTCACTCTATCAATCCTATACTGGGTGTATACCCAAAAGAAAAAATATCATTATACCAGAAAAGATATTTGCACTCATTTATTTATAGCAGCAATATTCATAATACCAAAGATATTGAATCAACATGTGTCCATCAACAAATAACTGGATAAAGAAAATGATGTGATATACATATATACATATATACACACACATACACGCACAATGAATACTACACAGCTATAAAAAATAACATCATTTCACTTGCAGCAATATGGAAGGATAATTTTACACTTTATGTCTTAGTCTGTTTTGTGCTGCTGTAACAAAATACCTGAGACTGGGTAATTTATAAAAAATAGAAAATTATTTTCTGATAGTTCTGTAGGCAAGGAAGTCAATGATCAAGATACCAGCATGTAATGAGGGCCTTCTGTTGCACTCTCAGATAGCATTAGTTTAAATGGCAAGAGAAAGGCAGAACTCTATTTGAGAGGGCTGTTGCAACCTTACAGCATGATACATCTTGTGAAATATGGTTTTGAACATTTTTATTAAAAATGTAGGCATCAAAATCTCTACCATTTGTGTCATGTTATAATAATAACTATAAAACTGCATTATTCAGAATATGTAACAATAAAAATTAATATTAAAAAGTTTTAAAATGTATTTGCTTTTGCATATATCGTTTCTATTGATCATAACAACCAGATGTGATAACCAGGGCCAGATATTTCTACTGTTATCATTAGAAATCAAAGAAAACTAACATATTGGATGGTTTTAAAAATTATAAAAATTGTAAGTGTACATATAAATATTAACTTGTAAGTCATCTTGCAAGTATTATAATCAGATTTCATTTTCAAATCGTGATGAATCTAACATGATACCTAAGTTTGTATATTGAACAATGTGTATACATGTGCACACACTTTTAATTTATATTTTTCTCATTCTGAGTGATAATGCAGCAAAATTTAAAGAGATTACACTATAATTATGTTTAAAATCTTACTTGTACTTTTGAAACAAATCACAGGTTGAGTCATGATAACAGGACAAAATATACTTAGCTGCTGAATATAAACAAAGTATACAGAAGCGTAAATCTTGCGAGCACAAAAGTGTTAAAAACAGCAAGATCTAGAGGCTCAAGTACAAGAGAGATATATTATACCAAGAGCAGTAATCTCAAAAATTTATATCCCAAATGTGTAGACTTGATCTTATTTTCAGTCAGTGTGTTCTGTATGGAAGATGAACATGCTCCTGACAACGGAGTATGATTTAGAAAACTATATCCTGCACAGAGGGATATAAAATGTGATTATATACTGCACTTCTGTGCAAAATTTTAAACAGAATTTAATCAATCACTTTGAAACCTAGATGTATTTGTGGAACAATGACATCACTTTGAAATTATGTGTAATTTGTAAATGCACAAAATTAATAATGTATTTTGTGTAAATGGATTACTTTGGAAAGAAACTCATAAGAACTACATTATCAGACAAAACATTCTTTGAAAATGTGTGTGCTACAAGGCAATTTGCCATTTCATTTTAATAGAATGTTCCATGCTGAAAATGTCTAACTGCTCAGAAGTGGAATAGGAGTGTAAATTTATTATCTGAGAAAAGAAAATTAATTGACACAGGCCAAAAATGTAATGGAATTAGACCCATGTGCCTTAGTGAGAACTTAGGAACTCGATCTGGGCTCTATGGAGTGACAAAATTATGCAAAAAAAAAATGAAGTATGTCATTTTTGCACAAAGCTCAGGATTTCTCAAAGGAATATTACATAAAATAATGAAGTCTCCTTTATCTCCAAGACAGTCCAGTCTTAGAACGCAATGGAACATGCCATTTGAAATAAAAAACAAATTTTGTTTTTGTTTTGTTTTGTTATGTTTGGTGCTATTTTAAGTATTTAACATTCATAAAGAGAGAATTAGCAATTAATGAGATAAAGTTTAAAAAAAATCGAGATCAGGACAAGGTAAAAAAAAATCATTCAGTCTTGCAAATCTGTTATTTAATAGGTCATGTTTTAAGAACTGGGAATACAGATACTACGTGTATTTTAAATAGAAAATTTGAAATGTACAAGAAGTCATTTTTAAATATAGTCACTCTGCTATAAAGTCAATCTCTAAAACTCAATCTTTGTGTCTAACTGAAACTGTACCCTGTGAACAACATCTCCCCATTCCCTATCCCTTGCCTCCAGCATTAACTAGCATTCTACTCTCTACTTTTAAGGGTTTGCCTTTTTTCGATTGCTAAAAAGTCTATTTTCAGTGTTCTCACAACAAAAAGATAAATATGTGACATAAGAGATGTGTTAAGCAGCTTGATTTAATCATTCCACAATATAAATATATACGAAGACATAATACTGTACCCCTCAAAACAATTATTATTTGTTTATTTAAAACATTTAAAAACAAAAAATGAGACAAATATCAGGAAAGTAATTTTATACATAAGCTAGATAATTGCCTATAGCTGCGTATGCTGTGAAATAATTTCTGTTTGAAAAGACAGGAAAAATTATATGGCAAAACCATAGTGCAGTAATAAATTTGCCATGTTTAGTAAACAAAATATAGTTCAATGTGACTGAAGCATACCAAGAGGCAGAAGAATGTGGTGTACACTGTAGTGTAGAGGAGTGTCTTAGTTTGGGCTGCTATACAAAATACCATAGATTGAGTGGCTTACAAATAACAAAAAAAGTATTTCTTACTGTTCTAGGGGTTGGAAGTCCAAAGTCAGAGTGCCAGGATGTTCTGGTTTTGGGGAGGGCCCTTTTGCGGTTGCAGACTGTTGGGTTTTTGTATAAGCACATGGGGAAAGAAGTGAGAGCTCTCTTAGGTCCCTTTTATAAGAACACTAAGCCTATTCATGAGGCCTCTACTATCACAACCTAATTACCTCCTGAAGGTCCCACTACTAATACCATTACATTGACAGTTACGATTTCAATATACAGATTTTGAGGGTACACTTTAAAAATTCAGTCCGTAACATTCTGCCCCAGGTTCCCCAAAATTCATGTCTTCACATGCAAAATGCAGTCATTCCATTCCAACAAATCCACAAATCTTAACTCATTCCAGCCTCAAGTCCAGTCTAAAGTCCAAGGTCTTATTTAAATATTACCTAAATCAGATGCAGGTGAGCTTCACGGTACAGTTCATTCTCACAAAATTTCTCTTCATCTGTGAACCTGTGGAATCAAACAACATGAACTTTCAAAATACAATGGTGAGACAGGCATAGGATAAACATTCCCATTCCAAAAAGAACCACTATTCGAAAAAAATAAAATATATGAATGCTGGATCCCAAGTAAATCTAAAACCTAACAGGGCAAACTCCATCAAACCCTAAGGTTCAAGAAGCATCCTCTTTGGCTTGATGACTCACCTTCCAGACAGTCCCCGACAGCTCAGTGAGGCACTGCTCGCTGCTGACTCTATGCACTGGACCCACTTATGGCACAGTCTTTTGTCAGGGCTGAGGTCACTCACCCAGGGCTTCACTGGATGGCCCTCCCACACAGCTCCTCTGAGCATCATTTCTGTCCTTTGAAATCAAAATGGAGGCAACCTTGGCCCACCTTGCCATACCCTCTGGATTTTTGGTAAAAGCAGCAGCTGTAATTGTCTCCAAATCCCCTTTGCGCCCCTTCTTCCGTAATTTTGAAGGAGAGAATAGCACACATCCACAACTGAATAGCTCTCGGGTCCGGGCCTGTAGGGCTTAAGCATTCCGAATGTCTTCCTTTATTTCGTCCCATTATCTCTGTTTCCTTTAGTCCCAACTGGCAGTGTTTCTCCTGGTATAATCCCATTTCTAGTCATGGTTTGTGTTGAGATGTTTGATTAAGCCTGTGGTTCACACCCATATTAATCAAATCAGTAAGGGTCCGAAACACTCTTCATGTTCTCTTCAGAACACACTTTCTCACTTTTTTTGCAATATGGACAGGCTGAGAATTTCCCAGATCTTAAATTATGGTTACTTTTTCCTTAACAATTCCATCTTCAAACCTTTTTCTTTTTCTACATTTGACTCTACGGATTCAGAAGGAACCAAGCTGCTGCTTCTACATGTTGCTGAGAAATCTGCTGGGTTAAATGTCCAATTTCACTGCACACAAGTTCCACCTTCCGCAAAACACAAGAGCATGAATACAATTCAAAGAAGTTTGTTTCCACTTTTCAACATGGATTGCTTTTGCTCCATTTTCCAATAACATTTTCATTTCCATTTGAGACTCCAACAGAATGACCTTTACTGTCCATATTTTATCAATATTCTGTTCATGATTATTTAATTATTTTCTGAGAAGACAGCGTTTTCTTCTATATTTCTTTCCGAGCCCTCACGAGAATTGGCTTTTAAATTTCTTCCACAGTAATCTAGCATTTTGCATAAAACCTCATCAATCTCTGCCAATCACTGAGCCCAAAGCCATTTTCACTTTGTTTTAGGTATTTATAATAACAGCACTCCCACTTCTCATGATCAATTTCCACCTTCAGCGGTTCAGGCTGCTTTAATAAAGTTCCATAACCTGAGTGGCTTTTAAATAACGGAATGCACATCTCACAGTTCTGGAGGCTGGAAGTCCAACAGCAGAGTGCCAGCATAATTGGGTTCTGGTGAGAGAGCTCTCTTGGGTTTCAGACTGCTGCCTTCTCAATGCAGCTTCACATGGTGGACAGAAAGAGCTCTCAAGAGTCATTTTTAAGGGCACCAATCTAATTTATGAAGCCTCCACCATAATAAGCTAATTACTTCCCAAAGTTCATTATAAATATGCAGCTTATAGGTCCTGCTACCATCATACTGAAGGTTAAGTTTTCATCACATGAATTTTGAGGGGACACAACATTCAGTTGCAACAAAAAATACTCAGTGGTTTTTAATTACAATATTGATTATGTAAATACAGAATAAATTTTAGCTCTAAACATTATCCATGATGTGATTAATTAAATTACTAGTTTAAAAAATTGAATCTGTAATTTATCTTGCCTCTATAATTATTATAAGAACTTGTAAACTTTTAACTTGTTTTCTTTAATTTGACCATTTCTGAAATTGTATCTCTAAGTATTGATATATACACTTCCTAGTGCATATAAAAGTTATGCATATTTAGAGTAATAAGTAGTGTGTTATCATGTTTTTATATCAGGGCAGGAAGGGAGAAGTTGAAGAACAAAGTGTCCTTTTCAACAACTTCAGCCCACGTATCTTTCTACAGGACTATAACATGTCACCAGCCACAAGGGCAAGGAGACTGGGCATTGTAGTTATTTGGCAGGACACATTGCTCTTTCAAACAAAAATGGCATTCAGAAACAAGAAAGTAGGGAAGAGAGGTTTTGGTTGGACAACTTGCATTGTTGTCCCTTCTTTTCTTAGACTTCCAAATTCTTGGTTTCAGAATTCTTCATAAGGTTACCCCTCTGAGTAATTTTATCAGAGGGGTAATTAAATCTCCCAAGTCCAGGTCCCCAAGCTCTTCTCAACTAGTATGACAGCAACTTGTATAGAGATGTCAATGCAGTACAAATGCTTGTTTTAAAGTTGTTTTAATCCAGCTTCTATCATTCTAAATATTGTTTTAATCCAATATTCTAATTCAGAATATTGAGAATAAACTAATCTTACATGAAATATCTTTTTTCTCCTATTATTTGATATGTGTGTCTATAAAATAACATTTTCTAATTACAGAATGTGCAAGCAAAAAACAAAAAGGGCCTGTGTCCCTAGTCCCATTTTCTTGCTTGGAGGTAACATCCACAACATTTTTAGTTTTCTGTTGTTCTTCTCTAATGCTCCCAATAATATACCTTTGTTGTGGTTATTGTTGTTATTATTGCTCTTGCATCAAGCACTATCTCTTAGTGCTCATGCACATCCTTACCGAGGTCCATTTCTTTACTCTCTGCCCCATTCCAAGTTGTGTTAGGTAGAGGATTATACTGATCAAGTCCTGTTTTTAGCTATCTTCATGACATTAACACTTTAAACCTCAATGTCTTCACTGTTCTACTGTCCTATGAGCTCTAGCAATCTCAAGTTTCATGTCACTTCTCAGACTATGGCAATGGTAATCTGCATTAATGATTTTTATTTTCTGCCCTTCCCAAAATCATCTACTTCTTTGGAATTTACATTAGCAGGCAACAATGGCAGTGGCAATACTACCTTTTGGAAGGTAACTGTAGCTCCACCCTTATCTGTAAAAAGATATGTGTTAAGACCCCCAGTTGATGCCTGAAACAGTGGATAGTAAACATGTACTATTTTTCCTACACATACATACTTATAATAGACTGTAATTTAAAAATTAGGCATAGTGAAATTTAACTAATAATTATAGTAGTTTATTAGTTAAACTACTACTAATTATTATAGTAGTAGTATTTGTTTAAACTAATATACTCATTATGGGAGTAGTATTAAACTAATAGGCTAATTATATTAGTTTAATAATTCTATTAGTTTATTAGTTAAACTAACACTACTAATGATAATAGAATTATATTAGTTATACTAATATATTATTTATAGGAGTAGTATACTTCTATAATTATATAGGAATATAAATATATTCCTTTTACTAATAATTATATGAACATAACTAATAATAGAATTATTATAACAATATACTGTAGTAAAAGTTATGTGAATGTGGTCTCTCTTTCTCTTGAAATACCTTATTATTATCTACTTTTCTTTTTGTGATAAAGAAAACAGGGAGTAGGATGGACAACCCGAGAATTTATCACGTTATGGTACACAATATCAAAGTTATTATTTCTATAAATTTTATTTAATATTTTTCAAAACATGATTGACCCCTGATAGCTAAAACTGGGGAAAGTGAAACCGCTGGTAAGGGGGGACTGCTGTGTTGCTAAAAGTGTCTTCCTTTGCTAAATGTACCAAGAGTAGATTCTCAAGAGGAGTAACATAGATAGGAATTTACGTTGTAGATGGCCTCAGCTATTGCTAAATATCTACAAATTCACTTGGGAATAATATAAGCAGCCACATCAGCAACAATATCTTGAGTAATATTGTTAATGGAGCATCAGGAATTAGGGCTTTGCAATTATGAGATACATTTTTCCAAAGACATGATGCAAACATCCTTAGCAGTAGAAGAAAAAAGTTGAATTCCAACTCTTTGTCAAGAGGCATTTTTGGGAATTGTTATTATATCCAATTTTCGCCCAGGATTATGTGGCATGATAAATATGCCTTACAATAACTTAGTTAAGAATATTATAGGTAATACATATTTCATCACCTTAAGAAATGTGAATGGCTGTTTGGAGGTATATTAACATCATGTAGATGGAGGTTCAAGACTGCTGAGATAAAATTGAATACATTTAGAAAGACTGATGGCATATTTTCCTGAAGAGAATCTTTAGAAAACCAAAGAGTTAATGTCAGGTTTTCATATGTCTTAGTAGTCTGAATAAAACCTGTTAAATAATTTTTCCTGGAAGAAACATATTACTATTTAATTTTCAAAAAGTGATATTAATAGTTAATTATCCAGTTATCTGGACTTTTTCCAAAAGAGTTTATCTATAAAGAGCATCTACTCTATGAAATGTAGAAATAAACTCAAAGGATAGTAAATCAGTATTCAGTCTGTAAATATTACCTCACTGTGTCCATGACATTTGTGAACTTAGTAACCAAATTTAAGGATTTAATGTGTTTGCTTGTTGTTAACATATATGGAGAGAGAAAAATAAATGGATGAATTTTCAGAATTTATTTAATTTTCTCCTCCATCAAAGTTAAAAATTAGCTGTTTGATTTCCTATACTCAGCTAAAATTCTCTGGCATTTTATCTTGATATTACTGACATCCTGGAAGGAGTATCTTGTTTGTTTGGCAAGTGGATTTTTTTAAAAAAATAAATTATTGCTTCATAATTTTTATTGTTTATATTTCAAGGTTATGAAAAATGCCCTTAAAAGATAGATGGTATATATATAAAAAATATATATTTTAATCTGCATGTAGTATAACTGTTGTGACAAAAATAAACAAAAGCTTAATTTCTTGCCAAGTTGTAGACTATTACAGTATATTATTTTAAGCATTATGCTGTACATACTTCTTTTGAAAATTTATGGAGTACATGAGATGTTTTGATACATGCATAATAATCACATCAGGGTAAATTGAATATGCATCACTTCACACAGTTATCCTTTGTGTTACAAACAATCTGATTATACTCTTCTAGTTATTTTTAAATGTACGATTAAATTATTTTTGACTATAGTCACCCTGTTGTGCTAGCAAATGCTAGGTCTTATTCATTCTTTCTAACTATGTTTTTGTACCTATTAGTGTGCCCCGCTTTCCTCCCAAACCCTCACTACCCTTCTCAGCCTGTTAACCTTTATACTGTTTATCTCCATGAGTTCAATTGTTTTAAGCCTTAGCTCCCACAAATAAGTGAGAGCATCCGAAGTTTGTCTTTCTGCGCCTGGCTTGTTTCACTTAACATAATGACCTCCAGTTCTATCCACATTGTAGCAGATGACAGGAACTCATTGTTTTTTATGGCTGAATGGTATTCCATTTTGTATATGTACTATATTTTCTTCATTCATTCATCTCTTGATGGATACTTAGGTTGATTCCAAATTTTGGCTATTGTGAGTAGTGCTGAAATAAACATGGAGTGCAGATATCTCTCTGATATACTATGTCCTTTCTTTTGGTTATACACCCAGGAGTGGGATTGCTGGATCATATGATAGCTCAATTTTTGCTTTTTGAGAAACTCCAGACTGTTCTCCTTAAGGGTCATACTAATGTACATTCCCACTGACAGTGTGCAAGGGTTCCTTTTTCTGTATATCCTCGCCAACTTTTGTTATTGCCTGAATTTGGGATAAAAGCCATTTTAACTGGGGCCTCTTAACTTTTTCCCCACACATTTCTTAATTCCTTGATGAAAAATGCTAAAAGATAAGTCACTTTCATACTTCCTAGATACAGTTATTCATTCACTCTTTTATTTTTTTAAGTTTCTTATTTAATAGATATGTATTAAATATTTACCTTGTCTCAGCCAATGTAATGTGTGACAGGCATACAAAGATGAATATAGCAGAAAGTTTATGCCTCTTAAGAAGCATAATGAAGTCATTTAAACAAATAATAGCTACAAATTTTGATGAGCACTGTCATAGAGGTAAGAATATTATGGTGGGGTGGGATGGAAGAAATTAAAATATGTCAATCTACTTTGCGTTGTAAGGAAAATCTTGGCAAAGAAGATACATGTTACGATTTGGCTCTGTGTCCCCACCCAAATCTCAACTCGAATTGTAATCCCCATGTGTCATGGGGAGGGACCTGGTGGGAGGTGATTAGCTCAAAAGGGTGTTTTTCTATGCTGTTCTTGTGATAGTGAGGGGGTTCTCAGGAGATCTGATGGTTTTATAAGTGGCAGTTTCCCCTGCATGCTCTCTCTCTTACCTGCCACAGTGTAAGACTTGCCTTGCTTTCCCTTCACCTTCCACCATGATTATAAGTTTAATTATAAGTTCACTTATAAGTTCAGCCATGTGGAATTGTGAGTCAAGTAAGCCTCTTTTGTTTATAAATTATCCATTCTCAGGTAGTATCTTTATAGCAGTGTGAAATGGACTAATAAGATAAACTTCAATAGAATACTTAAGAAGTTGTGGTAATCAACTAGTTTATGAATGGAAAGAATCATTTTATCAAAGGAAATTAAGAGCATAACAATGTGGCATTAAAACAGATTAGGGAGTTCTGAGGGTTGTAAGGATGATGGAACAGGTACATAATAGGACAATATGGGAGAATAATTAAAGAAGTCCTGAGGGTAGGTCACTGAGGCCTTATATGTTATAAAAGGGGGATTTTACTCTAGGAATTGGGAAAGTGTTTGAAGAAAGAGAATAGTGTGATTATATTTGCTTTTTAGTTTGAAAAGAAGTAGCCTGGAAATGAATGAGATTACAGCCAGAGAAGAGAAAGAATATATTTTGATGAAAGAATATATTTGGGTACTGATAGAATAGTCCGGGTTAAAGATGATTTGGACCCTGGCACATGGAGGATGCTGTGGGGTCATAAAGGAAGAAATGGTAATAAAAATAACTAAAGTTTTATTGGATGAAGTTTTCAAGCCAACAAAGCATAAAACACAGACACAAAAACGACGTCTAAAATGATTTCTTAGTTTCTTAGTCATGTATTAGGTGTCAACCAAGACAGGGAATACAGACAGAGCAGTAAAGAGTTCAGCCCCAGACTCAATCCTATATGTGATTTTTGGGCCCATCCATAAACAATGACAAAGACTTGACCAAGTGGGTCCCACAGGGAGAGCTGCCCTCCCCACACTAGTGCATAGTCCTCTAATGGCAGTTTCAGTAAGGGCTGCAGGGCCATGCTCACACACAGATCAGCATCACTTGACTGGTGCCTCCCCTGGAGGCCTCTCCACTGTGGGACCTTGGCAGACCTTCCCCAGGCATGTTTGCCCAAGACCTCCTTTTCATGGGGAGAGGAGGAGGAGTCTTGAAGACAATTGTCTTCCTTCTGATTCAATACTCAGTGCTTTTCCGCTCCCAGCCTTTTCCTGACCTTCCATAAAACTGCAGGAGCCTGTTGTTCAGGGTTCCTTTGATAGTGAGACAACTCCACATCTGCTGACCCATGTGATCCTTGATAGAGCTGTTTCATGAAGGAAAAAAAGGATGGGGACTGGACCGTCAGGGCTTTTTCCAGTTTAACCTCAAAGGTTTGTTAATGTCCTTTTGTCTTGATGTCTTAATTGCCTACTCCAACACCTGGCTCTCTCTCCAGAGTAGTTAAGCTCCTGATGGCTGGGGATAAATTTAATGACTACTGTTTTGTATAAGTTGAGGTTAATCTAATTAATTTACCTAGAGGGAAAATTCTGACCTCTATCTCTGAGACCTCATCTAAAACACAGATGTCATGAAGATAAATCTGGCTTCTGCCTTCAAGGAGCTTACAGTCTGGTGAAGATGATAGCTGGATAGCTAGACATAACAATAAAACCACAGCTGTTCCCTTGTGATAATTTCTGTTATGAGTTATGTACAGTGGAATATGAAAAATATATAAATGGTACATAACCAATTCTAGGAGGTCAGGGCAAGCTTCCTGGGAGAAATGCTGTCTATAGGTAGACACAGAGAGACAAGAATCAAAGCCTCTTCTGAAGAAGGGTTAAATAAATCTCAGGCAGATAGGCTATGCATGACCTGCTTCTTTTATCTGTCATTTTTGTTGTTCAGTTACTTGCTAAATTTTAAGAATTTTATATATATATATTATATTTATAATATATTACATATATAATATACATGTATATATATATATATATATCTTCTACATATCAGTGCTCTGTCAATTCAGCCTAATTCTGGCAAAAGCATTAAGGACTTCAATATTTACCAGGTTTGAAAGGGGAGCAGTCCTTTGAATTAGAATTTTTTGAAAAATGTAGGGCTATTTTGAAACAACTCCCCAATTGAAAATGCATGGACACTATAACTATTATACTTGCAGATGCATACAAAAATACTTTTATTGTCACATGGGCACAAAGATGTATATTGAAAGCTGTTCACTGAAACAGTATTTATAATAATGAAACCTGGAAGCAACATATCTCTTAATGGGGATATAGACAAGTAAAGTACAACATATACATGTTATAGAAAAAAATGCAGCCTTCTAAAAAGTGGGTAAGCTGTATAGATATAGAAAAGAAAAAAGCATTGTATAAATAATATGTACACTTTAATAAAAGTTGTACTAAATTTTAAATGTAATATAAATATCATACCTTCTATATATATAAAATTATCAAAAAGACTGAATTATAATACATGAAGAGTAGGAAAAAATAGTTGCACTGAGTTTTATATTTTCTGAATGTTTAAATCTTTCCACACAATATGTAATAATTATACTTTTAAAATGCCAGTAAGGTAATATATACAAATAGCTAATTAAAGCTTAATAAGAACTTTGGAAAAATCTTTTTAATAAAGGTTTTACATACATCAGGGTTACAATTAAATTTAACATGCTTTTTATTTTGTCAATTTCTTTTATTTAAAAAATACTTAAACTAACTTCCTTTTTGCTTTTTCCTATTAAAAGAAAAAGCATTTTGCCCTCATAAAAGAAAATTAGTTTCAGATTACTAGTAATTATTTAGGTACTAATTAAAAAATAATGAATCTCAGTTACTAAATACACAAATAAGGGAGTTATATGAAACTGTGCAATAGTCATTCTATGGATAGTCATATTTAAAATAAAATGAAAAGAGACTAAAATATGCATTTGTGCTTTTAACTCTGAAAACCTGAATACCTATTCAGCTGTTGATTCTGAGTATTTACAGAACTTTATTTCTTCTTTGGACATGCTTTGGCAGTTTTTACCTAATGTATACACATTTTTGCCTTGTTCTTAATAATTAAAAATGTGAGAAAAAGATATTCAAAAAGTGGTTTTTTGTGCGTACTCATGATAAACACTAATATAAAAAGTTACAGAGGTCGGGCCCAGTGGCTCACGCCTGTAATCCCAGCACTTTGGGAGGCCAAGGTGGGTGGATCACTTGAAGTCAGGAGTTTTAGACCAGCCTGGCCAACATGGTGAAACTCCATCTCTACTTAAAAAATAAATAAATAAATAAATAAACAGGCATAGTGGCTCACGTCTGTAATCCCAGCTACTGGGGAGGCTGAGGTGGGAAAATCACTTGAGCCCAGGAGGCGGAAGCTGCACTGAGCCAAGATCACGCCATTGCCCTCCAGCCTGGGTGACAAAGCGAGACTCCATCTCAAAAAAAAAGAAAAGTTATAGAAATAAATATGATGATATGATTTACTGAAAGCAAGTCTCAAATGCCTAAAAAAGGCCAAACTTCCTTTGGTCTTTGGATATCATTCTGGAGGGTGGGTGAGTCTACTTTTGTTTCAAATGTGTTATTTTCATTTATTTTTGAGCAAAAATATCATTTTATAATTTACACTTATTGAACATAAATGTGGAAATACTACTAAATTGTCTCCACATGGAAAATTTCTTGTGACATGTATTTCATCTAACTTGTGAAGTTCACAACTATTTCAAAAAACAGTTAAGCTTGTTCCAAAAACTCACTGCCATCCCACCAAATACACATATGGACTTGAGAATAATTAGGCTTTCAGAAACCATTTTAGTATCCAATTAATTGTAGTTTTCTTCAGAAAGTGGTGTAAATCTGATTATATATAGTTGCTTCATGTAGTATAAATCTGATTACACACAGTTGTTTCATATAGTATATATCTGATGATATACAATTGCTTCATGTAGTTCAACTTGTTACTAGATAATCCATGTGTAATTGTCACAGAAAATCTTACGTGTACATTTGGACAATGTCTCTATCTCTGTTTCTTTCTCTCTGTTTCTCTCTCTCTGTCACACACACACACACACAGTCCTTTACAATTACTTTGGGAAAAAAATCACAAAAAGGAAAAAATCATTAATCTGAGATTATAACATAAAATCCACAATTTGTCTGTAAACTATCTTTAAATCTATGTTTATACTTGAAATCTACTAGGCTTATGAGAGTCAAAGACTTCCAAGCTTTGAATATTCTTTTCACTTCAAAAGGAACTGAAAATCTAAATGTAATTTGGTACACCTTTTAAAATATTCACTGCTGCCTGCCAGCTAGCTGCAGGTTATTTTAGCTACTAGAAGCAGCACTAATTTGCAATATCTTTCTAAGACTATCTATAGGTAAAAATTTGACATTGGCTGACTCTAACCAATGTCAAGCTTTAGGATAGCAACGTAATCCCTAAAAGAAAAATGAGAAATAACCTAACTATCTAAACATCAAAAACAAATTAACCTTGCTTGCCCATTTTTAGGACAACATAACGGTTTCTTGAGATTTTCCAACATTTATGAAAAGATAAAAATTAAGATGAGTCATTTAATAGCATGCGTGCTTGAACCAATAAAATGATTTCTTATTTTATGAGTTGTTTTTAAAAAATGAGCCCAGATGTTTCAAATTATAAATAATTTGTCAATTTATGCATAAAGCCAAATTTGAAAAATGTGACTGGTCATTCCCATTAAGAAACTCAACTGAAAATCTGTTTCACTGAATCAAGCTTAAATAAGTAATTGTGTACTTAGATGTAGCTGAATTCTAAGAACTATTTGGACCACAACTTATAGACTATTTATATATTTTGCAAACTGTTTGCTGTTCTCTGACTTCAAGTAAGAGAGAGATATTAAGTGACAAATCATACAACGGAAAGGGAGAGCTATTAAGTGATAAATCATACAGTGGAAAGAGAGTTATATAGGAAGACTCTCCATTTTAACTCAGAATAAAATATGTAACCATCTTTAAGTTTTAATGGGGAGACCTGTGTGGCTGACTTTTTTTTTTCCCAATCTAGCTTCCTCATTTGGAAGAACGTTTTGTTTCTGTATATGAAAACTGAAGGATTTCTATTCAAGGCCACTGTGGTAGACAGAATAATGGCTTACTAAAATGTCGACGTCCTAATTTCTGGAACCTGTGAAAATGTCACCTTCCATGACAAAAAGGACATTGTAGAAGCAATTATTTAAGGATCTAGAGATGAGAATATTAAGATGGGTTATTTGGGTGTTCCAAATGTGAACCCAAGTGGAGTTCTTGTAAGACTGAGAAGATGCCTTCGAGTTAGGAAGGAGATGGGAGATGTGTTATGAAAGCAGAGGTTGGAGTGACAGAATTTCAAGATGGAGAAAGGGGTTATAGCCAAGAATCCAAGCAGCCTCAAGAGAGTAGAAGCTCTTGATTTTCACCTATGTGACTCTATTTTAGTCTTTACTTGCAGAACTGTAAGATAGTAGATTTGTGGTGTTTTAATCCACTAAGTTGGTAGTAATGTGCTCCAGCCACTATGAGACAAATACAGTATACACACACACACACACACACACACACACACACACATACATATATGTGTGTGGGTGTGTATTAGGAAAAGTAGTAAATCTAAATCTAGATTTTCTCATTCTCACCTAGGTTCTTATATTTTTAATTATATAACTAGTTACATAACATTATTTATATAATACTAGTTATATAACTAGTGCTCTATTATTTTCCTTCTATTTTAATTTTTCTGTTAAAAGAAAGTTTAAGAACATATGTATCCATATATGTATATACACATGCAGAAATATATATCTGTGTATGTGTGTGTGTTTATGAGTATATATATTCAAAGTTCTGAAACGTTTTTCAAAGCAATGCTGGCAATGGAATTCTCATTTCTATTTATCTTTTCTGTGGAGGTTTAAGTATGATTTATTTGGGAATTGCTACATTATCCTGACAAAAATATAACAGTAGTGGCAATATATAATCCCCCAAAAATGTTATATCTCCAGATAACTTTTAATGAGTTGGCATTGACTAGTATGAGAAATACAAGGCACAGAGAGTGATATGGTTTGGCTCTGTGCTGTCACCCAAATCTCATCTTGAATCGTAATTCCCATAATGCCCATGTGTTGAGGGGCCTGGTGGGAGGTGATTGGATCATGGGCACAGTTTCCCCTAGATGTTCTCATGATAGTGAGTGAGTTCTCATGAGATCTGATGGTTTTACAAGTGTTTGACAGTGCCTCCTTCACATGCTCTCTCTCCCCTGCTGCCATGTAAGACGTGCCTGCTTCCCCTTCCACCATGATTGTAAGTTCCCTGAGGCCTCCCCAGCCGTGCAGAACTGTGAGTCAATTAAGCCTCTTTCCTTTGTAAATTACCCTGTCTCAGGTATTCTTTATAGCAATGTGAAAATGGATTAATACAGAGAGTCTACACATTTCTTTATATAAGATATACTTGTTTTCTGTTTATAGTTAGCAATTACAAAGTTTACAGTAAAATTTTTACTTACATTCATATAACATTTAAGTTATTCTCAAAATTTTATGCAACCATTTTAGATCTAAAGTGGACTTTGTTTTTTTCCATAGAATAAGTATTTTGTAGGACTTCTCTTCAATATTGGTGTGTAGAAAAAAAAATGTGAACTTCAAGTTTCAATCAATTAAACTTTTGCTTAAACTGAAAAACCATGCCAACACACAAAAAGGTCATCTGGGGTGTGCCATTACATTAGGATTACATACTGGTACTACACACTCAGTTGTGTAGGACATAAGAATGGATTATACTTAAACCTCTAAAGGATGGCCTGAATTAAAGTGATAGAAAATGGGAGTTAATATTGCTAGTGTTACCATGTAAAATTTAATAATTATTTGCTTAATTATTGTCTTATTAATTTAATAGTTTCTAAAGAGAAATTTCATTAACAAATTAACAGGAACAGCTACAAAATTTGCAGTGTTCAGTGCAAAATTAACATATAGGACATCTTACTCAAAAATTATTTAAAACTTGACACGAATGACACCAAAGAATTAGCCAAGTGATGGGCCCCTGCAAATGAGCAGATCACATAAATCTATCCCTGAACATCAATTAGTTATAAAAAAATAAGAATTTAAGGCTGGGACCCATAGCCATAATTTTACCCATACCTGCATTTATATCTGTATTTATATACCTGTAACAGTATTTAGATCTATTTATTCACAATCTCAGAATCAGATTGTAGAGACATTTAAAGATTAACTAATACAAACTTGTCCTCTTACAAAAGAGAAAACTGAGCCGCAGTGCTTTGATTGTATCAGTAGCTAATATTAGAAATAAAAGCAACACATTATCTTAAATATTTTAGTTTTTCTTATTACTACCAGTTTAGTGCTCCTATGTATTTTGTAGTACTTCTCTTCAATATTGGTGTGTAGAAAGAAAATGTGAACCCCGAGTTTAATCAATTAAACTTTGATTAAACTGAAAAACCATGGTCAATCCCAATACACAAAAGGGTCATCTGGGGTGTGCCATTGCATTAGGATTACATACTGGTACTATATGTTGCTGCTACATGCTATTTCACTCAGTCGTGTAGGACAGAAGAATGGATTATACTTAAACTTCTAAAGAATGACCTCAATTAAAGAGATAGAAAATGGGAGTTAATATTGTTAGTGTTGCCATGTAAAATTTAATAATTAATATAATGTCTCATATATTCCGTGGTGATTAATTGGTGTGGAATATTTAAGCCACGAGAATAAGTACTATAAAAGCAAGAATTTATAATAGGGTCTTTAATGATCAGTTCTGTTCTTACACAGCTTCTCCCCACTCCTACTCCTTGGAAGCAACCAAGTGGTATGAGTTGGCCCCTACTCACCCCCTCCCTGGTGTCAGTGGACCACATCAGGGAAGTGAGGTTATTTTTTCACTTGGAGGAAACAAAGATATGTAACTCAGTACCCTACTTTTGCCATGAGGTTGCCAGTGGGTGGAGGGAGAAGACAAACTTCCACCTAACCAGTCTGCAAGAAGGAAGTATAAGTTAGTACTCTACTTTTGGTAGGATGGTATTAGTAGGTCCCATCAGGAAGATAAACACGCACACCCACCCAGCTCTCAGGTTACACATCAATAGGGAACCATCTACGAAATAATAAGAGAGAAAAATTCTCATAATATAAAAAAAAATTCAGGACACAATAAAAATCACTTATAAGACAAAAGAACTAGGAAATCATAACCTGAATGAGAGAAAGACAACAGACACCAACACAGACATAAAAAAGGGGTTGGGGCTGGGCGCAGTGGCTCACACCTGTAATCCCAGCACTGTGGGAGGCCAAGATGGGTGGATCACTTGAGGTCAGGAGTTCAAGACCAGCCTGTCCAACATGGTGAAACCCCGCCTCTACTAAAAATATAAAAAGTTAGCTGGGTGCATTGGCACATGCCTGTAATCCCAGCTACTTGGGAGGCTGAGGCAGGAGAATCACTTGAACCTGGGAGATGGAGGTTGCAGTGAGCCAAGATCATACCGCTGCACTCCAGCCTGGGTAACAGAGTGAGACTGTTTCAGACAAAAAAAAAAAAAAAAAAAAAAAAAAAAAAAGAGGTTGGAATTATCTAACAAGGATTTTGAAGAAACCATCATAAAAGTGTTTAAATAAGCAATTATATATTGTATTCTCTTGGAACAAATAAAAGTTAAAATTAAAAATAAATTCAATAATGACTTATAAGTTATAAAAAGTAAACATGAACTAAATAAAATTAAAATACAATAATGGAAATAATAGATGCAGAGGATGGTCACAAAAGAAGAGAGCACAGAGCAGAAGATGGAATCAGTGAATCTGAAAACATGCCAACAGAATTTACTGTCTGAACAAGAAGAAGAAAACCGATAAAAAAAAATTTAACAGCATTTCAGGAAACTTTAGAACAATAATAAAAGAGCTAACATTCATAATCACAGGAGATATAGAAGACGAGGAGATAGAATGTGGGACTAAAAAACTATTAAAAAATAATGACTTCAACCTTCCCAAATTAGATGGAAGACATAAACCTAAATATTCAAGAAACAGAGCAAACCCTAAATAGAATACACCCAAATACATTCAATTTCTGGAAATGAAAAAAAAAAATTAAAAATCTTGAAAGCAAACAGAGAAAAATGGCACATTTCTTACAGAAAAACAATAATGTAAACCACAGCAGATTTTCCATCTGAAACCATGAAGGTTGGAAGGAAACAGATAATATTTTTGAAGTACTGAAAGAACAGAACTGTGAACTGTAAATTCAATACCCAGCAATAATATTCTTCAGGCATTAAAGTGACATAGAAAACATTGTCTAATGAAAGAATGCTAAGGTAATGTGTTGCTAACAAACTTACCTTTAAAGAATAAGTTCTCTAAACAGAAAAGAAATGATAAAAGAAGAAGGTTTGCAGCTTTTACAAACATCCATCTAAATGGGTAAAATTAAGCATAAATATAATGTATAATCAAACTTCTCTTAAGTTTTTAAGCCATTTCTAATAGTTGAAGCAAAAATTAATGACCTATCTGGTTAGATGCTCAAGGAACATAGAGGAAGTATTTAAGATAATTATATCTAAAAAGTAGTGATAGTAAAGAGACTCATATGGAAACAAGTTTTCTACACTTCACTCAAAGAGGTAAAACATCAGTAACAGTAGATCTTGACATTACACATATATTATTTTAACCAGTGCAATTAATAAAACCAAACAAAATCATGTACAATCATGCACTGCATAACGATGTTTTGCTCAGCAGTAGACTGCATATATCATGGTGGTCCCATAAGATTATAATGGAGATGAATATTACCTAGTGACATTGCAGCTGAGCTGTCTTAACATCATAGTCTAACATATTTCTCACCTGTTTGTGGCAATGATGGTGTAAACAAACCTACTTCATTGCCAGTTATATAAAAGTGTAGCACATAAAATTCTGTCTAGTACTGATATTGTTTGGCTGTGTCCCCACCCAAATCTCATCTTGAATTGTAATCCTCATGATCCTCCCGTGTCAAGGGCAAGACCCGGTGGGAAGTGATTGGATCCTGGAGGCAGTTTCCCTCATGCTGTTCTCATGATAGTGAGTAAGTTTTCATGAGATCCGATGGTTTTAAAAGTGTTTGAAAATTTCTCCTAGACACACTCATTCTCTCCTGTTGCCTTTTGAAGAAGCCAACTGCTTTTATTCCACCATGATTGTAAGTTTTCTGAGGCCTCTCCAGCCATGCAGAACTATGAGTCAATTAATCCTCTTTCCTTTATAAATTACCCTGTCTTGGGTAGTATCTTTATAGCAGTGTGAGAACAGACTAATAGAGTAAATTGGTACTGGGAGTGGGGCACTGCTATAAAGATACTGAAAATGAGGAAGTGACTTTAGAACTGGGTATCGGGCAGAGGTTGGAAGTGTTTGGAGGGCTCAGAAGAAGACAGGAAGTTGTGAGAAAGTTTGAAACTTCCTAGGGACCTGTGGAATGGTTTTGACCAAAATGCTGATAGTGATATAGACAGTGAAGTCCAAGCTGAGGTGGTCTTGGATGGACAAGAACTCATTAGGAACTAGAGCCCAAAGATCACTGTTACTCTGCCTTAGCAAAGAGACTGGAAGCATTTTGCCCCTGTCCTAGAGATCTGTGGAACTTTTAATTTGAGAAACATTATCTCAAATTGGAACTTATGTTTAAAATGGAAGCAGGGCATAAAAGTTTGGAAAATTTGCAGCCGGACCATGCAGTAGAAAAGAAAAACCCATTTTTCAGGGGAGGAATTCAAGCTGGCTACAGAAATTTGCCTAAATAACAAGAAGCCAAATGTTATTACAGTAGCCAAAACAATGGCAAAATTTTTCTTGGGCGTATCAGAGACTTCCATGGCAGCCCTTCTCATCACAGACCCAGCAGCCTCTGAGGGAAAAATGGTTTCATGGGCTGGGCCTAGGGCCCCGTTGCTCTGGGCAACCTCAGGACTTGGTGCCCTGTGTCCCAGCTGCTGCTACTCCAGCTCCAGCCGTGGCTAAAAGGAGCCAATGTACAGCTCATCTGTTGATTCAGAGGGTGCAAGCCCCAAGCCTTGGAGGATTCCATATGGTGTTGGGCCTGAGGGTACACAGAAGTCAAGAATTCAGGTGTGGAAACCTCTGCCTAGATTTCATAGGTTGTATGGAAATGCCAGGATGTCCAGGCCGAGATTGGTTGCAGGGGTGGAGCCATCATGGAGAACCTCTGCTAGGGTAGTGCAGAAGGAAAATGTGGGGTTGGAGCTCCCACACAGATTCCCCACTGGGGCACTGCCTAGTGAAGCTATGAGAAGAGGGCCACTGTTCTCCAGACCCCTGAATGGAAGATCCACCAACAGCTTGTACTGTGCACCTGGAAAAGCCACAGACACTCAATGCCAGCCTGTGAAGGAACTGCCCAAGGCCATGGGAGCCCACCTCTTGCATTAACATGCCCTGGATGTGAAACATGGAGACAAGGAGATTATTTTAAAGCTTTAAGTTTTAATGACTGCCCTGCTGGGTTTCAGACTTTCATGGGGCCTGCATCCCCTTTGTTTTGACTAATTTCTCCCATTTGGAATGGGAGCATTTATCCAATTCTTGTACCCTCATGGTATCTAGGAAGTAACTAACTTGCTTTTGATTTTACAGGCTTATAGGCCAAAACGTCTTGCCTTGTCTCAGATGAGACTTTGAACTGTGGGCTGTTGAGTTACTGCTGAAATGATTTAAGACTCTGGGGGACTGTTA
Organism: Homo sapiens; assembly: GCF_000001405.40. Taxonomy (NCBI): domain Eukaryota; kingdom Metazoa; phylum Chordata; class Mammalia; order Primates; family Hominidae; genus Homo; species Homo sapiens. Next base: position 740,782 of record NW_025791777.1, read on the forward strand.
GGAAGGCATGATGTTGGGTTGGAAATGTAAAAAATATGTGAGATCTGGGAGGGGCCAGGGGTGGAATGATATATTTTGGCTCTATATCCCCACCCAAATCTCATCTTGAATTGTAATCTTCATAATACCCATGTGTTGAGGGCAGGATCTGGTGGAAGGTGATTGGATCATGTGGGCGGTTTCTGCCATACTGTTCTTACGATAGTGAGTGAGTTCTCAGGAGATCTGATGGTTTTGTTAAGTGTTTCACAGCTCCTCCTACACACAATCCTTCTCTCTCCTGTTGTCTTGTGAAGAAGATGACTGCTTCCCATTTCACCATGATTGTAAGTTCCATGAGGCCTCCTCAGCCATGCAGAACTGTGACTCAATTAAACCTCTTTCCTTTATGAATTACCCAATCTCGGGTAGTGTCTTTATAGTAGTGTGAGAATGGACTAATACAAGTACATTTTACTTAGTAATAATAATAAACAAATATATTACATTTTTGTGTATTTACTACACCATATTTTTTATTGTTATTGTAGTGTACACCTTCTACTTATTAAAAGAAATAGGCCCGAGGCGGGCAGATCACGAGGTCAGGAGATGGAGACCATCCTGGCTAACATGGTGAAACCCCATCTCTACTAAAAATACAAAAAATTAGCCAGGCCTGGTGGGGGGCGCCTATATTCCCAGCTATTCGGGAGGCTGAGGCAGGAGAATGGCGTGAACCCAGGAGGCGGAGCTTGCAGTGAGCCGAGATCACGCCACTGCACTCCAGCCTGGGCGACAGAGCGAGACTCTGTCTCAAAAAAAAAAAAAAAAAAAAGTAATAGGCAACTGTAAAACAGCCTCACAGTGGTCCTTCACGAGGCATTTCAGAGGGCATTGTTATCATAGATGTCGACAGATCCATATGCATTATTGGCCTAGAGGAGCTTCCAGTGGGACAAGATCTGGAGGTAGAAAACAGTGATGTTGATCATACTGACCCTGTGTAGGCCTACGCTAGTATGTGCATTTGTGTCTTTGTTTTTAACAACAACAAAAAAAAAATTAAAAATTAAAAGATGTAAAATTACAAAAAAATCTTAGAGAATAAGGATATAAGGAAATAAAGTATTTCTGTGTACAATATGTGTTTTAAGCTAAGTGTTGTTACAAAAGAGTCAAAAAGTTAAAAATAAGTTAAAAAGTTTATAAAGTAAAAAAGTTACTGTAGGATAAGTTTAATGTATTTTGAAAGAAATAAGTTTCTTTATAAATTTTATAAATTCAGTGTTTATAAAGTCTACAGTTTTGTACAATGATGCCCTAGGCATTTACGCTCACTCACCACTTACTCACTAACTCTCCCAGAGCAACTCCTAGCCCTGCAAACTTCATTTATAGTAAGTGCCCTAATCAGGTATACCATTTTTGATGTTTTGACTGGATTTTTTACTGTACCTTTTTTTATGTTTAGATACACAAATATTTACCGTTGTGTTGCAGATGCCTACAGTATTCAGCACAGTAACATGCTGTATAGGTTTGTAGCCTAGGATCAATAGGCTGTACCACATAACCTAGGGTGAGTAGTAGGTTATGCTATCTCTATTTACACATAGAATACACTATATGATGTTACACAGTGAAGAAATTGCCTAATGCATTTCTCAGAATGTAATTTTTGTCATTAAGTGATGCAACATTGTATTTAAAACACTATAAATAAATTAAGATGGAAACTTAACATGTTTATGTAACCCATTGGAAAGCAAGAAAAAGACACAGAGGAATAAGAAACAGAAACAAACAGAAACAAATAACAAAGTGGTAGACATCAACCACAACATACAAATTGTTAAACATAAAAGGCCTATAGAAACCAACTAAAAAACATAGATTGGCAGAGTAGTTAAAAAAACAAAAATCAAAAACGAAAAACCATGGCCAACAATATTGTCCAAATTGCATTTGTACCCCATAAATAAATAATTTTTAAAATTCTGTCTATATAAAACTAACTTCAAATACAGCATAGGTAAGATAAAAGTAAAAAGAGAGAACCAGTAAAATAATTTAAAAATGCAAGTGAGGTTATAGTAATATATCAGCTACATAAATTTTATTTTATTTATTATTATTATTATTATTATTATTTTGAGACAGAGTGTCGCTCTGTCACCCAGGCTGGAGTGCAGTGGAGCAATCTCAAACTCACTGCAAGCTCCACCTCCCAGGTTCATGCCATTCTCCTGCCTCAGCCTCCCGAGTAGCTGGTACTACAGGTGCCCACCACCACGCCCAGCTAATTTTTTTGTGTTTTTAGTAGAGACGGGGTTTCACCGTGTTAGCTAGGATGGTCTCGATCTCCTGACCTTGTGATCCTCCAGTCTCAGCCTCCCAAAGTGCTGGGATTACAGGCATGAGCCAGGGTGCCCGGCCCAGCTACATAAATTTTAAAAAGTAAAAAAAGTCAAATTGCGTTTTTAAATATTTTACATTCCATTGCCATTCAAAGAAATAACATTGTTTTCAATACGATTAAGCAAGTATCATTAGACCTAGAAATAGCCACAATCATTTCTTTAAAAGATTATTAATATTTATTTATTTATTTATTTATTTTTAGGCGTAGTCTCACTCTGTTCACCAAGCTGGAGTGCAGTGGTGCAGTCTCAGCTCACTGCAATTTCTGCCTCACCCTCCCAAGTAATTGGGATTACAGGCACGTGCCACCACATATGGCTAATTTTTGTATTTTTAGTAGAGACTAATTTTTGTACTTTTAGTAGAGACAGGGTTTCACCATATTGGCCAGGCTGGTCACAAACTCCTGACCTCAGGTGATTGGCCCGCATCAGCCTCCCAAAGTGCTGGGATTACAGGCGTAAGTCATCGTGCCCAGCTAAGATTACTAATATTTATAAGCTCTACCTTCTTTCTTGGAGAAATGACTTTATAATTTCACTTTCTAATTCAGTTACCTGTTGAAACTAAATTAAAATATATTCATATGCAAAATGCAAGTAAATAAAAACAGCAGCTTTCTCTATGCTAAAAGGAAGTTCCTTTGGAGCTCATTTCCTTGACAATGCAAGAAAGTACTTCACTGCACTATCTTCATTATGCAAATAAAGGTGCATTTTTAGCTCTTTGAAGAAGAAGAGGAAGAACATGTCTCTCAAATGGCAGGAAAGAACAAATTTCCTTAAGGAAGAGTGAGGGAAAGTTCATCAACACCAACCCTAGGTACATCTTCATTCAGACTTGAAAAGCTTTTGAATAGCGTCTGTTTATTCCTGTTAGAACTGAACTGGCAGGAAAAGACAATGGAGAAGCCACAAAGAGGAGTAGCTAGGTAGCAGCATTCAGGTCCACAATGCCTGGATTTCATTATTATTATTCTACTGTATCTTCAGGCAGTTTATGTAAATCATGTTATTGAGTTCTCTCATCTGGAAGATGAGAGTACTAATAGTTCCAGCGTTCTTACATTAGTGCTGCTGCCATTAGTTATCATCATTTAAGTGTCTGTTCTTATTGTTCAAAGAGTGACTGGCAGTTGAGAGTCCCTGGGACCTGAAGTAGGGAGGTAGAGAATTTTGCATTGGAGTATACTGTTATCTTAACCTTGGAGGCCTGAGTGTTCTTAGGTAAAAGACTGCTTTGGAGGCTGCAAATGGAACTAGAATCCCACCAGATCACAGCCATCTGACTTGGTTGCATTTTTATGGAAACCAGCGTGTTGAGGATGTGAGACTGATATAAAAGCACTAGGATATTCACAGGGTAAAAGTCAGGAGGATCATAACAGCACAGTACTAGAGAACCAGTACGTAGTGGTGTGATGAATGAAAGCCACTGACATAACTTTCGCATCTTGTCTTCCTGTATTCTTTCTTTCTGTGACAGTTGTTGAGATCATGACCTCTTCTGGAATGGTGTTCTCAGAAGTCCTTGGACAATCAGGGTGTACTAGGAGAAAACATGCTGTGAGATGGGATGAAAGTCTTCAGGATGGACACTATACTTTCTGTTATTGGAGGATTCGGTAGTTTGAATAAGCGTTTGAATGAATAAAATATTTGAGTTGAGGACTAAATTCTGATTTTTTTTTTTCATCTTGCCCAAATTCCTATTTAAAGAAACTGGGAGTCAGCCCTACGAATGATAACATCTCTTTACATGGGTTTTTTATTAACCCTATATAATGTGGCTTGCTTTCCAACCTGACTCTGGTACAGCATCACATAACAGACAGCAGACCCTGAAGGATATAAAAATATTTTGCCCTAAAATATATTTCTTTGATGTCTTTTGAAATGGCTGTTGCAAGGCCAGCAAACTGAGGTAGAGGAAATTTGCATCTATGGAGAATCTTCATTAATGCAGCCATGCTTCCCCTTTCTATGCCTTTCCAGGACCTAGGAGTGATTGAGAGTCTGATACCTTTAAAGGTCTGAAAAGAAACATTTACCATCTATTCTCTCTGAGGGCCACCTATGAGGCTTCATCTACTTAATAAGATCCTTGGTCTTTCCCCCACTCTTATCTGAACTCAGGCATTCCTTTCTATCGATTTCAAGACTTTAGACGATAGCATAACTCTCTCAACCAATTGTCAACTAAAGGATCCCTAAAAGCCCCTTATGACGTACAAGCTCCTACCCTGACCTACCTGCAATTACCTGCAGTTGGTTGTCTCCTTGGAATGTATAAAACCAAAGTGTAACCCGGTTGCCTTGGGCACGCTTTCAGAACCTCTTGAGATAGTGTAACCCAGGCCTTGGTCACTTATACTGGCTCTGAATAAACCTCTTTAAATATATTTTGACAGAATTTGGTTTTTGTGTATTTTTCTGTGTATTTCTACCTCTGAGAAGAGGAGTAATTTATACTCTTTAAAAATCATGGTCAGGTATGACTGGTGCTAGAATGAGGATGAAGGGAAGAGAAAGGGAAGAAATAATTCTCCACTCTTTGTTTCCAATTTTAGTTCTTTAAAGTAAAAGTACAAAACATTTTGTAGAGATGTAGTTTGTGGTGGCATGGTTGAAAAACTTCTGCAGTTTATGATTCCTCCACTACAGTGTGATAATGTTTTAAATAGCATTTAAAATGTAGATTCTGTCCAATCCTTACAATTAACTTTTTTATTGTTTGGAATCCATGAAGTTGGTATATGCATGAGCAGATACATATTTATTTAAGAAAAAAAATTAGGCCTTACAGAAAATTGGTTTCTCAGAGACATGATAAAAGTTACCAGATAATGTCTCTCAGACTATATCTATGAAAAAATACATAACCAAATAGACACCAATTGCAAATGAATTAATTACATTGAAATTCTAATAACTTTCATTTCCTAAACTGACATTGATGGAAAAGAATTCTAAGATATAAAATAAGCTCTACTTCATCCTGCTTTCAATAGCACATGATTTAATCAGAATATATAAGTAATACTGTTGAGCACATAAATATTATTTTCATTACTTGATGATAATTATGACTATTTTCATTGCTATAATTTTGGTCATGCCATATTGATTAGCAATAAAATATATACTTAGCTAGAGAGGCAGCTAATCCAAAACTTTTGGGATTTCTTTTTTTTTTTTAGATTATTGGTGCTCCTCCTCCTGTCATTGAGGTTAAAATTAAATGTTACATATTCCTTCTCTGTGTATGTGTATCTTATTTCCTCATATTCTACCTCTTCAGAGTAGTGTGTGTGAGTGCATGCACACACACTTGCATGTGAGAGCTTCTAATATCTAAATTAATGTTGAATCATTATTCAGAAACAAAGAGAGCTAACTGTTATCCTGACTTTATTCTTTATGAAGAAAAATACAGTGATTCCAAGTTACCAAGTTAGTGCTGCTTTATTTATAAATGAAGTAACATTTTACAAGTTGTGCATAAGTTAAAATTCAGAAATAAAACTTCATCCTAAAACTCTGTGTGTTGCTTTAAATAATCAGAGCATCTGCCTACTTAATTTTTTTTGTGTGGGTGCACAATAGATGTTTAATGAGATCCTGTCATCTGTCTGCTTTTTTATTGTAAAACAGGAGGGGTTTTAATCCTGGAGGAACAACTGATGTACCTCTGAAAAAGAGAGGGATTAGTTATTAATTGAATTGAGGGTTGTCTTGTCTTAGTAGCTTTTATTCTCTAGGTACTATTTGATTATGATTGTGAAAATAGAATTTATCCCTCATTAAATGTAAAATCAACAGGAGAATAGCAAAAACTTATGAGATAGATGAACATTGTGTGAGTGGCATGGTTTAATTTGTTTGGAAGAAGCACTTGCCCCAGAAGATACACAATGAAATTCATGTTATTGAGTAGAGTAGTAATACAGTGTGTTCCCTTGTGAAGTTCATAACCAAGAATTATTTTAGTAGTGGATAGGTAGGCTGAATAATTGACTTCCTATCATTTTCAGGTTCTGTGTTTGATTTTTTTTACATATTAATTTCTTTGATCCACATTAAGCTCAGTTATGTATTTCCATTTTATAAATGAAAAAAAAAAAATAGGCACTTGCAAATGTCAGATCACTTGCCTGTGGTCATTCGGGTAGAGATTTGTGAAGCTAAGTTGGTCTTAATCAAATGTCAAGCTTTTTTTTTTCTTATAAAATATAGATTTTAATATGAGTTTTAAAATAAAATTAATTAGAAAAAGGCAAATTACTCAATATATAAAATGTATTGCATTTGTAATAGGTAGGTATTTCATTTTCTAGTTATGGTGGGATATTATTCAGACTATAATTCCCAATGAAAAAACTTTAAAAAATGCTAGTGATTGCACATTTAAAACACCTTTTAAAAAGCATTGAGAGCTTATAAAATTTTAATAAGTGATCAAACCAAATTTGAAGAGAAAAGAAGAACCCAGAGAGGTAAGGATATAACCTTACCAGTTGCAATTTGCCGATCTCTACAAATATTAATATTTATTTTGACAGTTTCAGGGTGAATGAGAAAGAAACCAAAACCGAAGATTAGCATATGTTAAGTCTTCTTAAGGAGCCCTCCCTTAAAAGATTGAGATGACCAAATCTTATACCCTCAGCATAAGGTGAACCAGACAGACCTAAAGCAGTGGTAGCTTGGATCCACTACTTGGGTTTGTGTGACTGCGTGACTCAGGTAATCTCAAAAATTGAACATTTTTTTAAGGTGGTCCTACTCGTATGCCCAGGTGTTAGGGAGAAGCAAATCTGAATGCTTTATAAAAATACCCTGAAGCTAAATCTTACAATATTCTCAAGAACACAGTGAAACAAGGCAAAATAAGTTAAAATCAACAAAAACAACATGAAACATAATTAGAACCACAAAGACTTCAAACATTGGACAATATCAGAGAAAGATAATAAATATTTTACTCTTTAAAAATTTAGTTAAAAGCTTAAACTAATTGTAGAGAAAAAACTGTGTTAGTATTATATTGTAGATGAAATAAGCAAAACATTTAAAATACAAATGTGATTACTTAAATTAAATATAATAGATAATTTACCACCAGATTAGATACCATTGAAGGAATAATTAATATACTGAAATACAGGTCAGTAGAAGTTTTTTTCAATTCAGCATGGAGATGTAAAAAATGAAAATTAATGCAAAAAATAAGGGCACAAAAAGAAATGAGTAATTTTGATCAGAAATGTATTAAAATTAATAAACTGGAAATTTGACATTTAAAAAAAAGCATTGTCATCCAAGTAGATGTGTCTATTAAATAGTTGTTCTCATATCCAGTAATGTAATTATTATTCCCCCTCATGCAGTTCAGATTCTGGGGTAATCTTTAGACATCAGTTTTATCTTTTATATTATTTATTCTGTTTACTACATTTTATTTTGCTAATGATATTTTTAATTTCTGACATTCTGGAGTATTGCTCGTAAAAGGTATTTTTAAAAATATTTTATGGTTATTTTTGTGATTCCTATTCCTGTATGGACACCAAGGCTATTGACATTTTCTTTAGTTTCTTCTGTTAATTCTATTTTCTTAGTGTTTATATCATTTCATAGATAGGATATTCTTTATTTTTTATTTTTATTTAAATATTTGGTGATTCTTGGTTTTCTCAGCCATCTATTGTCAAGTGTTCTTATTAAGCATTATTATTAAATAAAGATTATTTCCTCTAATCACATGAGAATCTTTATTTCCCCCAAGTAATTGAAAATTGCAATGCCATGCTGCCATGTGGTACAGCATGGGTTTGGGCTTGCTTTCTTCTTTTTTTTTTAACTTTTATTTTAGGTTTGGGAGTACCTGTGAAAGTTTGTTATATAGGTAAACTCGTGTCATCAGGGTTTGTTGTACAGATCATTTTGTCACCTAGGTACCAAGTACTCAACAATTATTTTTCCTGCTCCTCTGTCTCCTGTCACCCTCCACTCTCAAGTAGACTCCAGTGTCTGCTGTTCCCTTCTTTGTGTCCATGTGTTCTCATAATTTAGTTCCCCACTTGTAAGTGAGAGCATGCAGTATTTTCTAGTATTTGGTTTTTTGTTCCTGTGTTAATTTGCCCAGTATAATAGCCTCCAGCTCCATCCATGTTACTGCAAAGAACGTGATCTCATTCTTTTTTATAGCTCCATGGTGTCTATATACCACATTTTCTTTATCTAAACTCTTATTGATGAGCATTGAGGTTGATTCTATGTCTTTGCCATTGTGCATATTGCTGCAGTGAACATTTGTGTGCATGTGTCTTTATGGTAGAATGATATATTTTCTTCTGGGTATATATGCAGTAATGCGATTGCTGGTTGGAATGGTAGTTCTGCTTTTATCTCTTTGAGGAATTGCCATGCTGCTTTCCACAATAGTTGAACTAACTTACACTCCCACTAACAATGTGTGTTTCCTTTTCTCCACAACCTGCCAGCATCTGTTATTTTTTGACATTTTAATAGTAGCCATTTTAACTGGTATGAAATTATATTTCATTGTGGTTTTAATTTGCATTTCTCTAATGATCAGTGATATTGAGTTTTTTTTTTTTTTCACATGCTTGTTGGCTACATGTATGTCTTCTTTTGAAAAGTGTCTGTTCATGTACTTTGCCCACATTTTAGTGGGGTTGTTTTTCTCTTGTAAATTTGTTTAAATTCCTTATAGGTGCTGGATTTTAGACATTTGTCAGACGCATAGTTTGCAAATAGTTTCTCCCATTCTGTAGGTTGTCTGTTTATTTTGTCAATAGTTTCTTTTGCTATGCAGAAGCTCTTAATAAGTTTAATGAGATCCTGATATGTTTAGGCTTTGTATCCCCACCCAAATCTCATCTTGAATTATAATCTCCATAATCACCACATGGAGAGACCAGGTGGAGGTAATTGAATCTGGGGGTGGTTTCATCCATGCTGTTCTTGTGATAGTGAATGAGTTCTCACGAGATCTAATGGTTTTATGAGGGGGTCTTCCCAGCTTTGCCTGGTACTTCTCCTTCCTGCCGCCTTGTGAAAAAGGTGCATTGCATCCCTTTCACCTTCTCCTATAATTGTAAGTTTCCTGAGGCCTTCCCAGCCATGCTGAACTTCAAGTCAATTAAACCTTTTTCTTTATAAATTACTCAGTCTCTGGTGGTTCTTTATAGCAGTGTGAAAATGGACTAATGAAGTTCCCATTTATGAATTTTTGCTTTTGTTGCAATTGCTTTTGACATCTTAGTCATGAAATCCTTGCCTGTTCTAAGTCCAGGATGGTATTGCCTAGGTTGTCTTCCAGGGTTTTTCTAATTTTGTGTTTTGCATTTAAGTGTTTAATCCATCTTGAGTTGATTTTTGTATATTGTGTATGGAAGGGGTCCAGTTTCAATCTTTTGCATATGGCTAGTTAGTTATCCCAGTACCATTTATTGAAAAGACAGTCTTTTCCCCATTGCTCGTTTTTGTCAGTTTTATTGATGATCAGATAATCATAGCTGTGTGGCTTTATTTCTGGGTTCTCTATTCTGTTCTATTGGTTTATGTCCCTGTTTTTGTGCCAGCACCATGCTGTTTTGGTTAACATAGCCCTGTAGTATAGTTTGAGGTCAGATAGCCTGATGCTTCCAGCTTTGTTCTTTTTCTTAAGATTGCCTTGGCTATTTGGCCTCTTTTTTGGTTCCACATGAATTTTAAAACAGTTGTTTCTAGTTTTGTGAAGAATGTCATTGGTAGTTTGATAGAAATAGCATTTAATCTGTAAATTGCTTTGTGCAGTATGGCCTTTTAATGATATTGCTTCTTCCTATCCATGAGCATGATATGTTTTCCATTTTGTTTGTATCCTCTCTGATTTCTTTGTGCAGTGTTTTGTAATTCTCATTGTAGAGATTTTTCACCTCCCTGGTTAGTTGTATTTTACCCTAGATATTTTTATTCTTTTTGTGAAAATTGTGAATGGGATTGCCTTCCTGATTTGACTGCCAGCTTGGTTACTGTTGGTTTATAGAAATGCTAGTGATTTTTGTACATTGATTTTCTTTCTAAAACTTTGCTGAAGTTTTTTTTATTAGCAGAAGGAGCTTTGGGGCTGAGACTATGGGGTTTTCTAGATATAGAATCATGTCAGCTTCAAATAGGGATAATTTTACTTCCTCTCTTCCTATTTGGATGCCCTTTATTTCTTTCTCTTGCCTGATTACTCTGGCTGGGATTTCCTATGTTGAATAGGAGTCATGAGAGAGGGCATCAAATCTACACATATCAAATACTAACCTTGAATGTAAGTGGGCTAAATGCCCCACTTAAAAGGTAAAGGGGGGCAAGCTGAATAAAAAAGCAAGACTCAATGGTATGCTGTCTTTGAGACCTATCTCACATGTGATGACACCCATCGGCTCAAAATAAAGGAATGGAGGAAAATCTACCAAGCATGTAGAAAACAGAAAAAAGCAGGGGTTGCATCCTAATTTCAGACCAAACAGACGTCAAACAAACAAAGTTCAAAAAAGACAAAGAAGGGGCCGGGAGTGGTGGCTCACACCTGTAATCCCAGCACTTTGGGAGGCCAAGGTGGGCGGATTACAAGGTCAGGAGATCGAGACCATCCTGGCCAACATTGTGAAACCCCATCTCTACTAAAATCCAAAAAAAAAAAAAAAAAAAATAAGCTGGGCTTGGTGGTGTGTGCCTGTAGTCCCAGCTACTCGGGAGGCTGAGGCAGGAGAATCACTTGAACCCGGGAGGCGGAGATTGCAGTGAGCTGAGATTATGCCACTGCACTATAGCCTGGCGACAGAGTGAGGCTCCGTCTCAAAAAAAAAAAAAAAAAAAAAAGACGAAGGGCATTACATAATGATGAAGGGTTTTACTCAACAAGAAGACCTTACTAACCTAAATATATATGCACCCAACACAGGAACCCCCAGATTCATAAAGTAAGTTCTTAGAGTACAAAGAGGCTCCCACACAATAATAGTAGGAGACTTTAACACACCACTGATAGTCATAGACAGATCATCAAGGTAGAAAATTAACAATGATATTCAGGATCTGAACCCAACATTCCACCGAATGAGTCTGATAGACATCTACAGAACTCTCCATCCAAAAACAACAGAATATACATTCTTCTCATCTCCACATGGCACATGCTCTAAAATTGACCACATAATGCCTTTCTTTTCAGTGGTCCATATGTAAGTCTTTTGAAAGTGGCAGCATCTCTACTGCTCATGCTTGTTGCAAGGAACTCTACTGAATACAAGGAACTTTACTAATCTCTAATGCTTGTGAGTAGATTCTGAACTCATCATTTAGAAAGCTAAACTGGGGGCTTTCTTCCCAGAGCAAAGACATAAAACAAACCTCAATTGAGCGTGGGACAGGGAGTCATGTGCTATAAATTTCTTGGACAGTTCTTATTCTATGGACCAATTACCATTCCCTTGTATCTCTAATTTTGGGATTATTTCTGGATTAAAACACAAAAAAAATCAGACTGTAAAAAGTCATCATTTCTACCAGTGTGAGAATATGTATTCCTCACCTTTACTGGGATTCACTGCCAGTATATATGCAAATGACTTATACACACACATACACACACGCACATACACACACACGTGTGTGTGTGTAGGTATGTCTGTAATAGGTATTTATATGTTTGCCTGTCTTTCTATTAGAATTGAGATACAGCAAAATGCACAGAAATTAAGCATTCAATTTAGTAAGTTTTCACAAATGTACATATTTAATCAATATCTCAATCAACACAAAAACCATTGTTTCACCTCTGAAGATAATTTTTAATCTTTTGCAAATTATTGAGACTTATTTAATGACCGAGACTACACAGTCCTTCGTAAACATTCCATGTAAATTTGATAAAAATATTTTCATGAAATTTTTTGTGTAGTGTTCTAAAACTTGAAATTAGACTACATTAGTTGATAGTATTATTAGAATCTTCCAAATCCTTACTAATTTTTATTTGTTCATCTATTGTTTATTTTGAGCCGATGATTAAAATCTTCAACTATGAGTGAAAGTCTATTTCTCTGTTTAGTTCTGTCTGTTTTTACTTCATGCATTTTGACACTCTGTTATCAGTTGTATAAACATTGAGAATTATAATGCATTGCTAATGAGCTTAACCTTTTATCATTCCATCTCTGATATTTCAGCTTATTTTGAATCCTACTTTCTCTGGTATTAGCCAGCTACATCAGTTTTACTTCCTTTCATTTTCAACCAATTTTATGACTCCATCTCAAAAAAAAAATGCATTCATTATACAGAGCATATAGTTTTGTCCTTTTTAAATCCAGTCTCAAAATTGCTAGCTCTTAATTTAAGTGTGTTATGGGTTGAATTGTCTGCCAAAAAAAACATACGTTGAAGTCCTTACCCCAGTAATTAAGGATGCAACCTTATTGAAAGATAGGATCTTTATAGATGTAATCAAGTCAAAATGGGATCATTAGAGTGGCCTGTAATCCAATGTGACTGGTGGCCTTATGAAAGGGGGAAATTTGGACACAAAAATGCCACCAGAAAGCACAACATATGAACATGAAGAAAGCCATCTAAAAGCCACGGAGAGATGTCTAGAACAGATTCTTCTTCACAGCCTTTAGAAGGAACCAGTACCTTGAATTCAGACTTCTAGCCTTCAGGACTTGAGATAATACATTTTTGTTGCTTGAGGCACCTAGTTTATGGTACTTTGTTATATAACCCTAGGAAACTAATATAAATGTTCAATCCATTTACATTTAATCAGTGATGTCAGTGTTGTTAAATCTACCATGTTACTATTTGCCTACTATTTTCTTATTTGGGTGTTGTTCTCTTCCCTTGGTTGTTGATATTTCTTTCTTCACCGGTTCAGTGTTACCTTCCTTAGAGTAAATGGATATTTTTCAATATTTCATTTTAATTATGCTATTGGCTTTATACCCTTCATACATGTGTTCTTGTTGATTCGATGTTCTTGGATCTCTGCATTGAAATTTTTCATCAAAATTTGAAAACACTGGCAATTATTTCTTCAAATATATTTTTTCTTTCCCATTTTCTGACTCATCCTTTTGAGACTTCATTTGTGTATAGGTTTGATGGCTTGATATCCCATGTCATTCAATCTCTTATTTTAATCATTTTCCTCTTTTGTTTGAGATTAGATAAATTCAAAAATGGTTTTCAAGGTTATTTGTCTGCTTTTCAGAGAGCTGAAATCTGAGAGTATACCCTGCCAGTGACTCTTTCATTGTATATTTTGCACTTGTTACTTCAACAATGTTCATTTCTCAAAATTACCTTTTTTGTTCTATCATTGTGACAATATCTCCATAGTCTAAGGACATATTCATAATATATATCTGTTGATTTCAATGCCTGGGTCATTATGATGTATGTTCTATTGACTGCTTTTTCCCCCTTGATTATTTATTAAATTTTCCTGCTTCTTTGCGTAACTTGTATTTTTGACTAATACACTGTAGAAAATCTAGACGTTGTCTTCTTGTAAAAGGCCCTAAGATAGTCCTTTGAAAGCTGTTAAGTGGCTTCCAGATCCTTTTGATCTGCCATGCCTGGTTTCATTATTTGTTAATGAAAATCTCTTTCATTTTTGTTCTTAAAGATAGGACATAGTCTTTACTGAAAGAAATAGTCCTTGTTCTTAATGCCTGGAATATTCCGTAAAATATCTTCCCTGTGGCTAGTCAGTAACCCAAACATCTCCTTGTCCTGTTACTACTGATATCTTATTCCCACAGTATCTGCTTTCAGCAGGTCTTGCAGATGTTAACCCTGCTCAGGTATAGAGCAGCTTTTGACGAAATTGGTGCCAAATACTTATTCTGGCTTCTGTAGGCCTACCCCATGCCTCTTTTTCCTTTCCTATACAAATTTCAGCCACTTCAGCAGCTCTTAAATAACAACCACTTAAGCAAGTGTAAGCTATTTACAAATATCGATAGATAGATAGATAGATAGAGAGAGAGATGATATAGATAGAGATTTAATTGTAATTTTAGATTCAGGGGGTATATGTGCAGGTTTGTTACAAAGTTATATTGCTTGCTGCTACTGTTTGGGCTTCCACTGATCCTGTCACCCAGGTAGTGAACTGAATACCTAACAGGAAGTTCCTTGGCTCTTGTCCCTCTACCCCTACCTCTTTTTGGAACCTAATTAAACTAAGAGCTTCTGCATAGCAAAAGAAATTATCAACAAATAAGCAGACAACCTACAAAATGAGAGCTTTAAGCTTTAATTTCTTCCTCTAAACTCATTATTTTTAGAGTCTGCCTCCTTGTTTAATGGGAGAAAAAGTGCCCCTAGTCACATTCTCTGGTTAAATGTGGTACTTACCTCACAGCTTTCTTCTCTCTTGAGTATGAAAAACTTGTACTTCTTGTTTGATGCATAAAATCTGGTTCCTCATATATGTTGCCCAGTTTTATCATTGTTTATAGTGAAAAGGCAAGTCCCTCCAATAATTCTATTATGGCCAAAGACTAAAGTGCCTCTGATATGACTTATGTCCTTCAGAAATTGCTTACTCTTTAGTCTGTTGGTAGAATTCTTCTCAACTTTCCATAGTTATTTTAATAAGTACTATATTTTCCTATTTCAATGGCAATTTGGAATAAAGGAGAAATAAATGTATTTGTTTGGTCCATCTTTGTGTATTCAAACTGTTAAGTCATTACTTTTCACGTCCACTACACATATTACTGCACAGTAATTCCTTGTTTACACCTATAATCTCCCTCTCCTGTTTTCCTAGTTTCTATTCAAGTATTTGGGGTAACTGATATTTCTTAAAACAATATGTATTCTTGGAAAGAGATGTTTCTAGAATCCCCTTCTTAGGTGACTTATTAGGAAAAATTATAAGAATAAGAACGAGAATAGAGAAGAAAAGTAATTGAAGACATCCACTTCAACTCTAAATCCCCATAGGAGAAAAAAGGCTAGCACTTATTTAAATGCCCTTCTTAGGTGACTTATTAGGAAAAATTATAAGAATAAGAATGAGGATAAAGAAAAGTAATCGAAGATACCCACTTCAACTCTAAATCCCCACAGGAGAAAAATGGCTGGCACTTATTTAAACTCATCTAGGGTTTAGTTTTGCTGATGTTGTTTTTCCAATAATAATCTGTTTCAATTATTATAACAGCAATTTCAGTGAAATATGGTACTTACCAGCTAAGTTTTACACAGGGAAGCACTTTCCTAAACACTTCCCCATCCTTCTTCAAAGTTTGAATCCAAATCTTTTGTACTCCAGGGCTTATTTTGTTTTTCCTACAGCATTCTGCCTTTCTAGAATTAGCACTAGTTACCCTCAGGAAAAGCAAATACATGGACCCATAAAATAATCTTTGGAAGTCTTTCTTCTCCTGCTAGTTACCAAATTATAATCTTCTTATTGTAATAATAAAATAAAATACAAAATAAAAAGAACTATTTTACTCTAATAAGTTTCCCATTAAGCTAAGCCTGCTTTTGTTGTATTAGAGATTAACATATGTAGACAGTGTTCTTTTTGACTGGAAATGGGGATTAGTTATGGTTCAAGTAATGCATAAACAAGATGTATTTTTAAAAATACGTCATATTTATGCATTATATTTAAGCAGCCATTTGTAAAAAGCTGAAACTTATTAGAAAGTGAATTCTTCATAATCATGTGTGTATTTTCAATGTTTAGGATTATTTGTTAGCTTAGGTATAGACTAGATTATTTTTCTAAACAAACAGGAATAAGAAACATAGTTAGTAAAATTTACATGACCTGGTAAAATTTAAAATATCCATTCTGACTAACAGGCAGTGATGAGAACAATAAATAAAATATATCTTGGTTTAAATTCTAAGTAAATATATTTGACAATATAAATATAAACATACTCATATGAGTGAATTGCTTCTAATTCTGGCTTTTAGCTAAATAAGCACTTAATGCTAGTAAGAAAAATACATTATTTCATAAAGATAACAAATTCTTTCAGAAATAGTAATTATATTTTTAAAGAGTTTGGGGAAAATAGAAGTGTATACTCTAATCTTATAGCAAAGTTTCTGCTAAGTTTTTGTGATGCCAGTGTTTTCATTATGAATCATTTCACTGTCAAACAAAATGTACGCTGTTGATTAAACACAGGCAAAAAGAGACGGAAAGAAAAAGGTATATTAAAAAAAAGACCGTTGGTTATTCTGGCTGCCACCAATTGCTTTCTTGTTTCAGCTGAATTTTGAAGTAGCTAATCATATTTTGGCATTTTCTTGTCATCAAAGCATTTCGTGAAATTATCCCATTACAATGTTTTTCTCAGAGGCAAAATTAACATGGTTGACAGTTTAATTGACATATTTCTTTTTCGTTGTGTGCCTTTGCCAATTAAACAAATTGCACCCTATTTTGATGTTCATTTTGTTAATTATTTGTAAAACTGTAGACTCTGATTTTTTTTTTTTTTTAATTTTCAGGTGTCAGTTTCTTGGTCGGGAATGAAAATAGTGCCAACCTGTGATACCTTCACTCTAATTTTACTTTCTGAGGAAGTTTTCTGTAATAGTTATTTGGTGATAATTATTAATACTGGTGAGTTTTAAAATTTTTGCTTTCAGCAATTTTCCATTTTTTTCAACATACTTATATCGCAATGAGGCAACCAAATATGAATCCTGAGAATGAAGATGGAAAATGAATATTTTAATCCAATATCGAGTTGTTCTTTCAACATTTTTAGTTTTAGTTTTAATCGAAAATATAAAGTTACATAATTGTGTGAGGAATAATTTTTGCAGAGAAATTTTTAAAAATTCACAAAAGGAAAAAGAAACCTTTACCATGAGTCTATAACATTGAAAGACTGTGTTTAAGTTATTTTAATAAAGCCAAACCAACACTTTCAGCAGGAACTAAATGGCAGCATCTGATTTCACGCTGATACATATGTATTAGTGTGGTGCTCACTTTTACCCTTCATTTTACCTTGGGTCTTGCCATTTTCTTTCTTTTTATTTTTATGTTTTTTTGTGTTTTGTTTTCTTTTGGAAGAGGTAATTTTTAGGGAGAAAAAAAACACTTTTTCCTCATAGGTCGATTTAAAATGTTGGCCTTACCTTAATCTCCTCTCTCAAACTCAATCCACTATGTAATGGGTCAACATACTTTTCTGTGAAGGAGCAGATAGTAAATATTTTAGTCTTTGCAGGCCATATGGTCTCTGTTGCCAGCTCTTCCATTGTGGTGTGAAAGCAGCCATAGACAACACAGAAATGAATAAGTGTAACTGTTCCAATAAAAACAGATGATATGTTGAATTTAGCTCACAGAGTTTAGCTTGCTGCCCCTGCAGGAGGCCTTTGGAGTAAAAGCTTCCTGAGAGGAGGACTTTTTGTCTTTTTTGCTCAAGTTCTAGCTCCAGTACCTAAAATAGTGCCTGTCACGTAGGTATTGATGAATATTGGAACCTGTTGAACATACACCTAAAATAAAACATTTGGCAAGATACAGTACTACACAATTTGGAGAACACTTGGCTCCCATAGAAATCAAAGCCTTCCTGAGTAATTAATTATTTGGCCTGATGATGAATTACTGTGCCTGAGATGATAGAGCTAATTTATTTTTCAATTCACTCAGGGGACACACGTTATTTTCACTGTGAATTTGGTTAAAATGAAAAGATTTCCTGCTCTAAGTCCTGGATAGACCTTTATGTAATAGCATACTCTTCACTCTTTTTGAATCGCATGCAGTTGTCAGACTGGATGATTTCCAGACAGAGGTTCCAAGTCTTTCATCATGTTTGGGTTAAAGACCTCATTAACATACTAGTCCTGCCATTTGAGTCTGTTCTCTTCACGGAATATTTTCACCTGAATCAGTGGGTATAATTCATCAGTGTCTGGTTGCTTCAAGTTATTTTTCTTAATGCTGATGTTAATGCATGCCCATCTTTATGCCTCAACACATTGCACAATGAAAAACAAAAATTATTTTGGAAGACACAGCTGACATCTATATGAAATATTCAGTATCAGTGATTGAACTTCAGCAAGCTCCTGTGGCCAGCAGGGTTTTACGGAGGTGCAACTGCTCTCCCACGATCACTTATCATAAAGCCAGAGACAATTGGGCCAATGTAGCCTCTTGCCTGCTTTTGTGTACAAAATATAAATAGAATAGAGCAAATAAGGAAAAATAGTCCCGCAGCTGGAAGGCAACTTTAAAGAAAAATGATGTTCATAGCTGTCTTGCCAGTAGCTGGCAAAGCAGTTTTTATAAGACATATTTAATGTTTACAACCACTTGGAGGCTGGGGAAGGAGTAATACTTTGAAAATATGTTTAATGTTGTGAACCACTCTGTGGCCGAGAAGCAACTCCGGCTAAAATATATTTAATGCTTAGAGTCATTTGGCGGTTTCGAAAAAAAGAAACTTCTTGTTAATTTTTAACATTTATTGCTGATCAGTGGCTGCTAAAGTAACTATCAGTACAGCATGATTTATATTTAGGGACACGCTGTGCTGCTACTAAAACAATTCATACTCTTCTCTCAAGGCTACACAAAAAGTGTCAATAGCATTACCTTTGCAATTGCACCACTAATAAAAACATAGGAATCAAACAGACGAATAAAATGCTCCCTGCCCACACAGCCATAACATCCTATGGCCCTGAAAATAGTTCTGCCAAGCTGCGTGCAGTGGACACTTCACGGCTGGCACAGGAGAGATCACAAGGCCTTGCTCAATTTCATCAAAAGTGTTAAAGCGACTCAGCAGATTGTGAAGCACAAGTGGAAGCTGATAATTGGTGTTTCTTACAAATCAACGGCTTGTCTCCACACATCAAGGTAAAGGCGTCCTCTACACCAAAGAAAATGTAAATTGGGATAGAAGGTCATTATGTTTTTAAATAAACTTGGTTAAATTTGTAGAAAGGGCAATGGTAAATACTGAGCTCACATGTCAGATGGAGAGAAAACTTGAGAAAAGGGAAGAAGATAATGAGCTGGAACCTTTACCATTTAGACTTTCTCTGGCTAGATTTCTGAGAATGATCATCAAACTCTTATGAGGACCCTTTCCAATGTATTGACTGCACTTCCCCAGGGATTGTGGCAAATGGTAAATATATATTTTCTCCTTGCTACTTGCAATAACCCTGCTCATAAAGTGTTACTATTATTCACTTGCAGGTGAGAAAATCAATGTAAAAGAGGAGAAATAACCCACACAACCACATACAACTAGGAAATGATAGATGGATCTGAAAAAAAGGATATGCACTCTTAACAAGTTCAACACCCAAGTACTATTGCAAGTACCAGCTGTATTTCATGGAAAAAAAAAAAAGAATAACTCAAAAGGCAGAACGAAGAGCCTAGAGGTCAGAGATGAGAGGCATGAATAATTATTCACAGGCGTTGAATATAATCAAATGACTTGCAACATTTACCACTGGGATTTTAAAATGTGGTGGACCAATCATTCTTTTAGTCTGTGCATTTTCCCATTTTTTTCAACAGGAATGTCTAGAGACATTATTCCTGTTTTGCCACTGTATTTTTGGTGAATGTGTAGTAAGTAACTGGCCTCTTTAGTATCACAAAGCTGGATGAAGAAAATGTGGTACATATACACCATGAAATACTATGCCGCCACAAAAAGGAAATGAGATCATGTCCTCTGCAGGGACATGGATGAAGCTGGAAGCCATTATCCTTAGCAAAGTAACGCAGGAACAGAAAACCAAACACCACATGTTGTCTCTTAGAAGTGGGAGCTGAACGGTAAGAACACATGGACACAGGGTGGAGAACAATACACACTGGGGCTTGATGGGGGGTGGAGGGGAGGGATGGGGAGCATTAGAAAAAATAACTAATGCATGCTGGGCTTAATACCTATGTGATGGGTTGATAGGTGCAGCAAACCACCCTGGCACATGTTTATCAATGTAACAAACCTGCACATCCTGCACAGGTACTCCAAAACTAAAAGTAAAAAAATCTAAAAGAAAAAAAAAAAAAGAATTAAACCCAAAATCACTTCCCCATCTGGACTTGATTTAGATGAAAAGCTTCTGGACTTTGAGCTGATGCTATAGTGGGTTGAAAATTTTGGGGTCCTCAGAAGGGGATGAGGATATATTGCATGAGAGAGCAACATGAATCATTGAGAGCCAGAGTATAGAGAGTGGTAGGTAGACTGTAGGAGAGCCCTCAATGATCCCGGCTTTCTTGTATTCGCGTTGCACTTACTTGTATAATATGGCAGATGGGATGTGATGTCACTTTCAAGATTAGGTTATAAATAGACTATGGCTTCAATCAGAGGGTTTTCTCTCTGTCTAGCTCTCTTTTGGGTAGTTCATTCTGAGGAAAGCCAGCTGCCACGTTATGATGTAGGCCTGTGAGGTCCACGTAGCAAAGAACATATGGAAGATTTCTACCACCCCCTAACTAAGCCTTTAGATCAGACCGCAACCCCAGCCAACAAGGTAGCTACAAACTCTTGAGAAGCCTTGAGACAGAGGTACTCAATAGAGCCATTCCTATGAGAAACGTAAGTATCTGCTGTTTTACACCGCTAAGGTTTTAGCTAATGTATTATGCCATAATAGATAAGTTATATACAACCTTTATCAAATAATAAAAGTAACCATCATCAGTAATGAGACAAATCAAAAACCATGGCCCACCCAACAGAACATAATGAGGAGAGTACAGAATTGCTTCTGGGATATTTCTGACAAAGATGTATATGCTTCATTCATACATGAGGAAACATCACACATACTCAAGATGGGAGAGCCATTCTAAAAAATAACTAGGCAGAAATCTTCAAAAATATTAAAGTCACGGAAACCAAGAAAAAATATGAACCTGTTTCAGATTAAAGGAAACTAAACAGACCTAACATTTTAATACAATGTTTGATTTTGAACTTGAACTTTTTGTTATATAAGACACTATTGAGACAAGTGCTAATGCTTGAATAGGGCTGAAGGATTAGATTATAATAATACATTAATGCAAATTTCCTGATTTTAAACATTGTAGTTTGATTGCACAAGGAGAATGTCTTTATGTGTGGAAAATAAATAGTCAACATTCTGTCTTCAAGCTTCTGAGAAAACTCTGCTTTTAGGGCATAGATAGAAGTGGATGATAATTCACCTGTTCCTCTGCTACTAATTGAGCTGCTCTCTGTTTCCATGGCTGGCTCATGGGATGAGAGAATATATCTAGTTTTTTATGTTTCAATTTGTCTCTCTATGGCATTTTTGTGAAAATAAGGAAGTGTGGAGACTTATATATGTTTCTAAATTGTAATAGTTCATTAATGTAAAGTACAGACACAGTCTTCACTTTTCCTTCTTAGACCGTTTAAATATGGCCACGAAACAAGTAGTCTCTGGTTGGCTGGACACTGTGGCTCATGTCCTTAACACCAACACTTTGGGAGGCCGAGGCAGGCAAATCACTTGAGGTCAGGAGTTCGAGACCAGCCTGGCCAATGTGGCAAAACCCCATCTCTTCTAAAAATACAAAAATTAGCTGAGTGCGGTGGTGCACACCGGTAATCCCAGTTACTCGAGAAGCTGAGGCAGGAGAATCACTTGAACCTGGAAGGCAGAGGTTGCAGTGAGCCAAGACCGCACCACTACACTCCAGCCTGGGCAATAGAGCAAGACTCCATCTCAAAAAAAAAAAAAAAAAAGAAAAAAGAAAATAGTCTCTGGTTAAATAACCTCTGAAAGACTCCACCAAAAATTTCATCTTAGCATTTCTCCCCAAACTTCAGGTAAAATAAAATAGAGTTGAGAGAAAAATAGAAAGGCAAGGGAGTACCTGTTCACTATTTTTATTAAACCAGTGTTCTACTTTATTTTAGGTGTATCTTTTCTTATTTAAATGTCAGCTAAACTTTCTTTTTAAGATATTGAATGAAAGATGCCCGTCCTTCAGGTTTCGTTTAAGCAAGAATCCCCATTCTCAAATAATATAATATAAACTTTCCAAATTCTTAAGTAGATCATCTGAGATTGAAAGCTAAGTTTAACTTTCTCAAAGATATTTTAGCCGCCATGACACCTAGACAAAGTGGTATATTAAATTCTGATTAATTTGGTCCTAAAGCACCTAAGAATCATTCTTACTTTCTTATCCACAGGGGTTATTAAGTTTTCACATTAAAAAAAATCCAACAGTGAATAATACTGCATTGGGGTTACTGTAATTGTTAAGTAAAATAAGAAATACAAATCTTTAGTTAGATCACATGGCACCTGACTACTGCTTAGAAAATGGTAAGACTTACTACATAAATCATGAGTCACTATTGACATCTACTATATCATATCATAGGTTAGGTATCTAATTATAAATAGTCAAATCAGCTGACTCAAGGTGGCATAGCTCAAGCAGAGGAAGATAATACAAGTTGAGTATGGATTTAACACTCTAAACCTGTCAGCACTGTAGGAAAAGTAACTTAAAACTGCACACCCCACTTATGCATAATCATCAGATATAAAGAGGGTACATTCCTGTAATTTATTGTTGCTCTAGTGATCTTAAAGAATTAAGTCCACATTCATAAAGTCCAAACTTGTCTCCAAGGATTTGCTTTGACTTTGGGAGTATCTGGATCATTAAGTAATTTCCGGAGGTCAGAGTAAAAGCTTTTTATCTCTAAATATTACTTCCCTGGAAAATTAGATGTAGCAGAAGTCAGTAACGGAGTGACCTTTGTCTTAAACAATTCATAGATTCACTGAAATTTTCTTCAACTTTAGGAAAATTAAATATATTCCACAGTGCTGTAAGTCTTAAATATTGATTTTCCTCTGAAATCTTGACTCATCCTACCCACCAACATTCTCCCTTTGTACACTATGTTCTTTGTAATGTTCACGTTACACAAGTGAAAATTAGTAACATTAGTAAATTTTCATTGCAGGTTTATTTGTTCATATTTCTGGATATATAATCCATTACTGTTAAACTTCATATCAATGTTCCGATATTTCTTCATCTTATGTTTTATGTTACAAAACAGGTTATTTCACTATATGTATTTTTAATTGATTAATTCTTCCCTTTTTTGGAAATGAAACAGCCCTCTCAATTATTGGGACAGAAAAGTTATTTCATAGGGAATACTTCAAACACTGATATCTACAACAGGCAGTAAGATTCGTCACAACAATTGGTATACTGTCAATATACCATACAAAGTTCCATCTGGTCTTGATTAAAAATTATTTTAGTTTTCTCAGGAAAATGATACAGAGGGAGAATTGCCTAGATTATATGAGAGAAAAAAAAGTAGAGAGAAACATAATGTTTTCTTAGATTATTACAGCAGTGAACTATTTCCACCTGGTAAGAAGGGTGCACTTGAGAATGGGGTTCAAGTACTCTAGGAACATAGATGTAAGTTCTGGATGCACAGTAGTTGTTGCTTAGCTGTAAGCTGGAAATTTCAAGGCAGAAACAGCAGATACCACAACTATAACTGGGTCTCCTTGTTTTTTGTTTTATGTGTATACGTGAGATTATGGGGAAAGACAAAAGTAATGCATAGAGATTTATTTTTTAACATTCAATTCATAAGCAGTGTTTATACCTCTTTGTACTTACTTGAAAAGTGTATATTATGTAAATTTAGTATAAAAACACTTGGACTAATTCATACCATGTGGTAAAATTTCACATTCAAAAGAAATACCCTTCTGTTATTAAAAATAAAAAAAAAAGGAGCCAGGAGGGTGGCTCATGACTGTAATCCCAGTGCTCTGGGAAGCCAAGGTGGAGGGATCATTTGAGGCCAGGACTACTTGAGAACAGCCTGGGCAACATAGCTAGATCCCTTCTCTACAAAAAGTAAAAAAAAAAAAAAAAAAAAAAAAAAAATAGCTAGGCAGGGTGGCACATGACTGGCTATTAAGGAGGCTCAGGTGGAGGGATCTCTTCAGCCCAGGAATTTAAGGCTTCAGTGAGCTAAGATTGGGCCATTGCACTCCAGCCAGGGCAACAGACCAAGACCCAGTCTCAAAATAAATAAATAAAAATGAAAGAAAGCAGTGCACTGAAAATCAATTTAAGTATTTACTGGAGTTGTCTTGAAGGCCCAATGGGAAATTTCAGTAAGGGCACATGAGAAAACACTTTAAGAACCTATTCTTCCAAAGATCTTTCCAGTATCTTATGACAACACAGTAAATTATACCCACTCCAACTGCAAAAGCTGAAACTACTCTGCTTTCTCACTTACCTACACTTTTGACTTTCCAAATACATTTCTCTCTTCGGATATGAGCTGCAAACTCCTTATATAAAGGCTCCAACTCTGCAGCCCTAATTATTCTAGTTGGCCCAAGAAAAATCCTAATTGTTTTATCTAAGGAGACGGAATTTTCCAATACTGTAGAGGCATGTGTGTGTGTTTGCTTTAAGGAAGCTGTTTTGGTAATAAAAAGTCACTGAAGGTCATAAATTCATGTTAACACATCCAGTGTACATGAAGTAGGCACCGAGTTAAACTATTTGTCTACTATATAGCATGTCATCTTAAAAGCCTTATTTTTTCCTCAAAATATTAACTTTATTTTTCTCCCTGTAAAATCAAGACACAGTTAAAATGTAGCCTTCCTCATTTTCTGGGAATACTTTCTAACAAGATATGCTTCTTTCCAATTGGACTTCTAAATTTCTAGCAATTCTAACAGTGCATAAAAGAGGCAACCCCAAAAGTGTAGCAGGTACTGAATAACAGATTTGCAGCCTTGGGTATCCACATTAAAATTTGAAATCTAAGTGAATTACTTCAAGCTGATTTCTTAGGTCAAGGAGAGATTATGGTCCTTAAATGCCTGATAAGGTCACATACACAATTTCAAGTGCATTATAGTAAATCCATGTGACAGCTCCTACAGCTACTAACCTGCTTCTGCCCTCACGGTAGCGTGCACAATCTTCATCGCATGTCCTGGGTGGTGGTAGGAGCAGTAGAAACCCCCTGGGTCATGTCAGATTTAGAAAATATAAGCAATGGCTCATACACGAATTTTAAGTTGTAACCTACATGTGATAAGTTGCTTTATCTTCCAAATGTAATAAAAACCAGAAGTTACTTTGAAATAAATTGAAGGATTAGCAGTGGTGACTGAGGAATAAAAATTATAATTTAAAATTGTCCTTAAGGCTGGAATTCTTAACTTATTGACCTTATATCCTACATATTATAGGACTTTGTAAATTTAGGCTGATATGGAAATGTATATTTATATCAAATTTAAATTTTTAGAATGATGGTGCTACTATAGTCTAATTGTTAATTTGATAATTGTAATTGTAATTTGTTAATTTGTTCTAATAATGTTTTCATGACATTATTCATTTGCTGCTTGGCTTGATGGCATAACAAGTATGGGTTATTTACCCTGAAAAGGAAGCAGTATCACCCTTCCAGAATCTCTATTTACAGCTACAAAAGATGCAACACACCTGTTTCTGGACCACTTCCAGATCAGATGTGATGCATGCTTTAGATCATTTACTTTGATCTAGGAATTACTGTCTGGCATTTCGTGGTGTAAGGTAGGTGTCTCCAGCACTGTATAGGTGTCTGGAATTGAGATAAGAATCAATTTCAATACAAAATACATTTTTTGCTTAAAGCACGCAAGGATTCTATGAATTCAGGTAAATTCACAGGGTGGAAAACAGGAACTAATGTTATATATTCCTGTAGTTATCTTCATAATGAAGCAGAAAGAAAAACAAAAAAGTTACAAAAATAAATGAAAAGAACTGTATTTTCTAGAATTGAAAAATAATTCTTTTAGATGATAGATAAGATGTTTACATCAACCTGCAAAAAGTCAATGTTGAAGAGGTCTCATTGTATCTCACAGAATTTTGATTTGCCTACTCACCCACAGGAGACATTTCTGGGACAGTAGCAACATAAGGTCCATCCCAAAACTTTGGCTCATTATCATTAATATCCTGCACTTTGATGATGAATTCTGATTCAGGCTCCAGGGGCTTTCTGGTTTCTATGTCCACAGCCTGAGCACGAAGAGTGTAGAAAGGTTTTTCTTCTCTATCTAGGCTCCTTATTGCATGAATGTCCCCTGTGGTTTCATCAATGGTAAAAACGGTGCCAGCGCCATCTCCTGAGAGGGTGTATTTCGCAGTGCCCTCTCCCTTGTCTAAGTCGGAATGGAGCTTTAGGGAAGAGAGGGAGAGAGAGAGGAAGAGAAAGAGAAGGACAAAGAAAGAACACCATTAAAAGGATGTTGCCAAATTAAAAAGTCATAATTTGCAATACAATTCCTTTAATCAAAAATGTTAAATAAAAATCTTATGGTTCTGTTTTCTTGTTTTTTATTTCTCCAACTTCTTTTTATAAAAATTTCAACACAAAAAGTTGAAAACTGTGCAATGAACACATATACATATACATCCAAACATTCCTCCATATGTGTGCAATGAACACATATATACCTATACATCCAAACATTCCTCCATTCGTCTATTAATCTGCTTGCCTTATCAGATAGGTCTCATATCCATTCTTCTGTTCATCCTTCTCTTAACCCATTTTTTTTTTGAGGTGTTACAAAGATCAGAACAAAAGTACAACCTCAGATATAGCAGCAGGCAAAAAAAAACAATAAATTTTGAAAATTTGTATTTAGTTCTTCTGTATCCCTTTGGGATAACATTTTCATAAAATGAAATGCACAAAACTTCAGTGTACTTATTGTTTCATTTTAAATAAACATTGCAATAAAAATAAATTAGCTCATAGACACCACAAAATAAACTTTCCAAGTGTTCTGAAGATGAAATCAATGACCTGAATCCAGTGGGAGATAGTGCAAAGGAACTCAGAAAACACTAAGCATTTTCATTTGTAAAGAAGGGAAAAATCTGGCAAATCAAGAGGTTTTCAGTGATATAGGGCAGAGCGTCTCATTTTAACAGGCTGAGTTTGAATGAGTTTACCACTATGATTGGTAGAATCACTGATTATCCTTTCAGATTCAAAATAGCTTGTTCCAATTCATTCTATATAGAGAATATTTATGTTGAGTAATATAGGAAAGCATTGAAATTCTGCTAATTTTTTTTTAAAATTCAACACATGTATGGTACATTACATTATAGCATGGAATAAGATACACATGAATAAGCGATAAGGAAGAGAACTAAAGAGTAGAGAGAATTATCAGTGTAATGCCATAAAGCAGCGTTGTTCAAACCGGAGACCAAGAATAAATGAAAAATGGACACAGTCTTAAAAGTATATAAATTATGTGTAAATAAATATATACATAAAATATTACATAAAATAAAATAGTGCATCATATACAATTTTCTAGTAGTATATATTTGTATAAATATATTCTTATACATAATATAATTATATATACATATATACATAACAGTCATAAATAATATTTATATTAATTTTTATGCAGATGCTGATTTAAATGTTTTAAACTATTCTTGCTCATTTGGGTATAGCCATTTGATTTCAGCATCCAAATTTTTACATGTAACAGCTTTTTCCAGACAACAGATCACCCAAAAGAAAATTAAACTTTTGCAGCATTTCTAACCATTTGGGCTATGCCTTAAAAATCTGCATATGAGCACTGCTCTTTGCAAATCATTGCTTAAGAATGAGTTCTGTTTTCCTAACATTTCAACACACACAAAAACTCTGAAAATATTTTAAATTATATAAATATCCTGTTGCAAATAAGCTTCCTGTGTATTAGTATGAGTAATTAAAAGCACAAATATAGCCCAAATAAATACAAGTTCAACTGTGGCTACATCTTTGCTCTTAAGCTCAAGAGCGTGCTTTAAGTTCAATAAAATAATATCATTGTTCATATTAATGTTATTAAGGTAAACTTATTCATTTTGTGACCCTGCATTTCCTTCAATATTTGTTCTAAAACTGTTTTGTATGAGAGTATAAGCATAACCATAAAAACCTGGTTGGGTAATATAATAAAAATAATGTGGCAACAATAAGAGGGAACAAGATTTTGGCGTTCCTTTAAAAGTTTCTGTATATTTTACTTAAGTATAAAGAAAATTGTTATGAATGATAGGAGGAAGGATTTTTGTCCACCTATTAAAAAAAAAAACTGCTGTGAAGCATAGGAAGTTTCAAGCATAAAATCAAGCAGTAGATAAATGTTCTTTGAACTTACGAATTTCAAATTATAAATTTCAACCATGCTATTAAAGATATTCAACACAGTGGATATTCCTTTTGCTTTCAAATTTATCTAAATATATGAGACAGGCAAAAGCTCAATGCAAAAGGCATGACTTTATAAAATGGATCCATTTTGCCAACAGCTCAAAGAATTATGGTAATATTGTGGGAACTGAGTGAAAATTCAGAGTAGGTTTTGAAATGGATACAAGTAGAATTTTAAAAAGAAAAAAAAAAAATTTCTGTATTTAGCTAAAATCATAACTGTTTCCTTTGCAAACTGACATAAAAATGAAGAAGCAAAATGTGTCTTTAGTTATATCCAAGTTCCAAATTCAAGTTAATTACTGCTGCTCCTCACTCTTCTACCTTTTCCTTCAAATTTAAA
Organism: Homo sapiens; assembly: GCF_000001405.40. Classification (NCBI taxonomy): domain Eukaryota; kingdom Metazoa; phylum Chordata; class Mammalia; order Primates; family Hominidae; genus Homo; species Homo sapiens. Next base: position 769,908 of record NW_025791777.1, read on the forward strand.
GATGGGCTTTGCAGAGATTAAAGCTTCAGAAAAAAATATGGGAAAATATGTTAAAATGTTGACCTGAAAATGAAGTGGATGACTATAAAACTCTTGAGAGAATTAGACTTTTTGTAGCAGTTTATTACATGATAATACCTTAAAGGAGATCACATTCAGTGACCTGCGTTGACAGGTAATATTTAAAATTAAGTATTAATGCTGATTAATTCAGGCAGATGGGTGGTAGCCTAAAGTATAGACATTTTTCCAATATTAATTTTGATATTAAATAAATGACATCGGCTCTTGTTGGATATTGTAAAATTTCCTTTACTTCAACTGTAAAATAATTTCAACAGTGAAAGGTATAAAGTAAGATGAAAATTTCCATCATGATCTTACCTAGAGATAACTTCTCTTTTTTTGAGTCGAAGTATCGCTCTCGTTGCCTAGGCTGGAGTGCAGTGGCGTGATCTCGGCTCACTGCAACCTCCACCTCTCGGGTTCAAGCAATTCTCCTGCCTCAGCCTCCAGAGCAGCTGGAACTACAAGGCGCATGCCACCATGCCAGGCTAATTTTTGTAGTTTTGATGGAGACAGGGTTTCACCATGTTGACCAGGCTGGTCTCAAACTCCAGGCCTCAAGTGATCCACCCGCCTCAACCTCCAAAAGTGCTGGGATTACAGGCATGATCCCCCATGCCCAGCTGAATTGGAGGAAATTTTAAAAGTTAATTTTAAAACTGCTTCTCTTTTATGGGAAAGGAATATGTTTTTAAATGGTATTCAGTGTGCTCTTTTTTAAAAAAATCAAAAATTATCCATTAACATCCGTTACTTTTTTTGTTTTTGGTTTTTTTTGAGATTGAGTCTTGCTCTGTTGCCCAGGCTAGAGTGCAGTGGCATGATTTCAGCTCACTGCAACCTCCACCTCCCAGGTTCAAGCGATTCTCCTGCCTCAGCCTCCCAAGTAGCTGGGATTACAGGCGCCCGCCACCACACCCAGCTAATTTTTGTACTTTTAGTAGAGACAGGGTTTCACCATCTTGGCCAGGCTGGTCTCGAACTCCTGACCTCGTGATCCACCTGTCTCGGCCTCCCAAAGTGCTGGGATTCCAGGCGTGAGCCATCACGCCTGGCCTAATAGCCATTACTTTTTAATGCATGGTAATTTTTTGTTCAGTAGATAAATATATTGTTATCTTAAAAAGATTTTTTGTATTTACTTTTGAGACTGGGTCTCAGTCTGTTGCCCAGGCTGGAGTGTAGCAGCCTGATCATGGCTCAGTGCAGCCTCTACCTCCCCGGGCTCAGGTGATCCTCCCCCTTCAGCCTCCTGAGTAGCTGGGACTACAGAGGTGTGGCACCATGCCCGGCTAATTTTTGTATTTTTTGTGGAGATGGGGTTTTGCCATGTTGCCCAGGCTAGTCTTGAACTCCTGGATGTGAGCCACTGCGTCTGGCCTATTATTTTAAATATAGTTCTCTTTACTGCCAGTAGCTTTCATATAACCCTAGCGACTAGATTTAGTCACCACTGCTTAATTCCAAAAAACAAAAGCTCCATCCTATATTTACTGTAAATCAGTCTCTTTGATTGTATTGCATGTTTTATTTCAAGAAAAAAGTTAACCTGAAGATTTAATTTTAAATAACTACACATGTTGTCACTAATAGAAATAACAAATAATTATATGAGAATAATGGTAATTCTCCTAAGTTTTGTGGTAAATTTTTTGGCAATTTTATTGAAGTATAATAAAATTCAACAATTCAATACGTCTTTATAAATGTTCATTGTGATATAGGACAGCTCTATCACAGTACTGGGGTAAATTTTAATTATATTTATTAATTACAGATGTGAATTTCTTCGGAGTAAGAAATCCTCAGAGGAAATTACCCAGTATATTCAAAGCTACAAGGGATTTGTTGACATAACGGTAATGTATAACAGCAATTTTTTTCTCAAGTTTTTGGATTACCTGTAAGTGTCTGACTCAGAAGGGCATAGGCATTCTTTTTATGTCATGGGTTTGATTTCTTTCTTCCTTTCTCCTTTCATTCCCCTGGCTCCCATCTTCAAAGTGAAAAATATCACATTCACTTGCTGACCTAGAGCCTTTTTCTTTTTCCAGGGCTGGCTTCTGACGGGCTCTGCTTGCCTTCCTGATAGTCTTCCCCTTTATGAATGAAGCCACTTGCCCCAGCTTCCCTCTGCTGCCCCTATCTGCAGGCTTGCTAAGATCTCCTGACCTAGGCGCTGTCACCCACAGTGGGCTGCAGAGCTGGCTCTTCCTAGCTGGCTAACTATCCTGAATCAGTAAAAATTTCCTAGTGGAGAGTGATGGGAAATCGAATCCAAACTGGCTTAAACAAAAATGAGAATTTATTGATTAACATGACTCAGGAGACCAGAACTCTATAGAGAACATGGCCTGACAGTGGGGGAAGAGAGGTGTTTCCTCAAAAAGAAACTGGGTGCAGCTTTCCCAGAAGAATCAGTTGCTCAATATATAATACCCTGATGAATTTAGTTACCATTCTATGTCTCTTACTTCCTCATTCGTCAAAGTACATCTGTGATATTTAAATGCAGGTCTGTTTTCAAGGTCAGTTTCCGGAAACAGTGACCCTGAGAAGGCTTCCTCCTGAGTATGCATAAACATTCACAGCTTGCATGCGTGTGTGTGTGTGTGTGTGTGTGTGTGTGTATGTTTGCTTGCACTGCATAAAAACAATTGCAACATCAACAGAAATAAAAATTAAAGGAATAATTCTCCTCCGACTCTGCCGTTCCATCCAGTGAAACTCTTCATTCTGGGGTAAAGTTCCTTCAGTTCTTGTTCATAGATAGGTATATACTTCATAAGTCAAACAATCAGGCTGGGCGCAGTAGCTCATGCCTGTAATCCCAGCCCTTTGGGAGGCCGAGCTGGGCAGATCACTTGAGATCAGGTGTTCGAGACCAGCCTCAAGACCTCCAACATGGGCCGGGTGCAGTGGCTCACGTCTGTAATCCCAGCACTTTGGGAGGCCGAGACGGACGGATGATGAGGTCAGGAGATAGAGACCATCCTGGCTAACATGGTGAAACCCCATCTCTACTAAAAATACAAAAAAAAAAAAAAATTAGCCCGGCATGGTGGCAGGCGCCTGTGGTCCCAGCTACTCGGGAGGCTGAGGCAGGAGAATGGCGTGAACCTGGGAGGCAGAGCTTGTAGTGAGCCAAGTGCCACTGTGCTCCAGCCTGGACGACAGAGCGAGACTCTGTCTCAAAAAAAAAAAAAAAAAAAAAAAAAAAAAGACCTCCAACATCGTGTCTGTCTCTACTAAAAATACAAAAAAAAAAAAAATTAGCCGGGTGTGGTGGCACATGCCTGTACTACTCGGGAGGCTGAGGCAGGAGAATCACTTGAACCCAGGAGGCGGAGGTTGCAGTGAGACGAGAACCTGCCACTGCACTTCAGCCTGGGCAACAGAGTGAGACTCTGCCTCAAAAAAAAAAAAAAAAAAAAAAAGTCAGATAATCAACAACTTGAATTTTAATTTCCCTCAGGGAGAACATTTTGTGAATTCCTGGGTCCAGAGAGAATTACCTATGGCATCAGGTAAAAACTCAAACATTTTCCAAAGGCTTTGCTTGTTTATTTCTTCTTTTGATTTTTTGTCCCTATCTCTTTTTGTCGTCCCCCCCGCCCCGCCCCGTTTATTTTGAAGCAAACTCTAGACATCATTCCATCTGTAACTGTGAAGGGACAACTTGAACGCTGATACTTGCAATATCAAAGCCTACTGGTCTCTTTAATTTGTGCAGCAGCAATAAAGATATAGAAAAAAAAAAGACTAAAGCCTGCTGGTCTCACCTTGTGCTTTTTATTCAAGCTTATTGCAATGACAGCATCTTTGCTTACGAAGAACTACGGCTGGACTCTTTTAAGGACTGGCCCCGGGAATCAGCTGTGGGAGTTGCAGCACTGGCCAAAGCAGGTCTTTTCTACACAGGTGAGTCAGTAGGTTGTGCCCACTTGCTTGCTTGACCTTTAATTCCCACATAGACTTTATGCTCCTGGGCTTACGTTTAGCTACACTCAGCAATGTCCACTAGCTTCAGCGTTTCTTTTTCTTTTCTTTTTTTTTCCCCCTTGGAGACAGAGTTGCCCAGGCTGGAATGCAGATCTTGGCTCACTGCAACCTCCACCTCCCGGGTTCAAGAGATTCTCCTTCCTCAGCCTCTGGAGTAGCTGGAACCACAGGCGCCTGCCACCACGCCCAGCTACTTTTTTGTATTTTTAGTAGAGACAGGGTTTCACCATGCTAGTCAGAATGCTCTTGATCTCCTGATCTCGTGATCTGCCCGCCTTGGCCTCCCAAATGCTGGGATTACAGGTGTGAGCCATCGCGCCAGGCCTCTCTTCAGCATTTCTTATAGATTCGTTTTCTTTTCTTTCTATTTTTTTTGAGACATGGTCATCCAGGCTGGAGGGCAGTGGCGAGATCATGGCTCACTGCAGCCTCAACCTCCTGGGCTCAAGTAATCCTCCTGCCTTGGCCTCCCAAAATGCTGGGATTACAGGTGTGAGCCACTGCACCTGGCATACATCTCTTTTCTTTCCTGCATCATAAATCCTCTCCCAGTTTTCTATTCCTCCCTTAGGTGGTAAACCTTCAAATTTGAAACCTTAAGGTCTGGACTAACAATGAATACAAGTATTCTATTTGTGATAATTATCATGTCTTTTCTTTCTACACATTACTCTCCTCACCTCTTGTCCCCTGACAAAGTGCTCCTAGAAACTGTCACAGGACACTTCTGCTTATATTTCTTTAATCAGAACTTAGTTGGATGGGCCGGGCATGGTGGCTCACGCCTGTAATCCCAGCACTTTGGGAGGCCGAGGTGGGTGGATCACCTGAGGTCAGGAGTTTGAGACCAGCCTGGCCAATATGGTGAAACTCTGTCTCTACTAAAAATACAAAGAATTAGCCAGGCATGGTGGCGGGTGCCTGTAATCCCAGCTACTTGGGAGGCTGAGGCAGGAGAATCGCTTGAACCTGGGACGTGGAGGTTGCGGGGAGTCAAGATCATGCTATTGCACTCCAGCCTGGGCAACAAGAGTGAAACTCTGTCTCAAAAATAATAATAATAATAATAATAATAATAATAATAATAATAATTATTATTATTATTATTATTATTAGTCAGATGACCATACCTAGCTGTAAGAGGAGCTGGGAAACCTAATCTTTTTCCTGGGTGACAATGTGCCCAGCTAAATATTGGGATTTCTATTAGTATGGAAGGATTTGAGATAATAGGAACATGGATAGCAATCTTTGCCACATTCTGCCTGCAGGAGAAAATCAGGAAATTAATTTTCATGATTCCTAAACACGTAGAGCCTTCCACCAGATTGTGGCATTTTCTCTTTAGCTGCTGGTCATTAGGAAGCACCTCTGCAATCTATAAATGATGGGCTGGTTCCTGTCAGCTAAATCTCTGCCTGAAATACAAGATGATCAGGGAAAGGTTCCTAGGTACCTTGCTGGTCTTGCTCAAACCGAACACATGCATAAGTTACAGTGGAGGTTAATGCAGATCTTTAACTGAGAGATCAAGTAGTTGTCACAAATACCATAGAGCAACACAGAGAAGCAGAATATAGTTGTCACTCTACCTAACAGACATGTGCCATTGGAAAAAAAAAAATCTGACTGCCTCACAATCTTAAGCCTTTGGAAAGAGTGTTTGCCATTTCTCCCTACTCTACTGTGTCTTCCTCTTGTCAGCCTTCCGCAAGACCCCTCTGACCAGTGTGCTCCCCCTCTTCCTTTCCAATCCTCCACCACTCCACACAAATCCTAATCATCTCTGACTGTTTTCAGATCTTGCAAGCTCTAGGATCTCATATTTCTGGGAGGCTTTCCTCTGCCCCAGCTTTCCCAGAGTGGAAGGAAGATGAGAAATGCTCTGTTTCTAGTTTGATCCTTTTGCAGAGCTAAATACCAATTTCTTTCCAAAGAAATATAATTTCACAAAGAGACTTAATCCTATTTCTGGTGTAATAAACATGGCAATAATGTGGTAAGAGGCAATTAATTCTTCATGCATTCACTTACATAAGGGCTGCTAGATTTGCTGGTATTTTTTTTTCCGTGAGCTCTAAATATATTCTTTCTGATTCATTCATTAAACGAATACTAATTGAGTGCCACATGAGTGTCAAGCACTTTTCTAGGTTCATGTCATTCATTAGTGAGCAAAAACCTCTACCCTCATAGAGCTTATTTTTATTTTTATTTTTTGAGACAGAGTTTCACTCTTGTTGCCCAGGCTGGAGTGCAATGGCGTTATCTTGGTTCACTGCAACCTCCGTCTCCTGGGTTCAAGCGATTCTTGTGCCTCAGCCTCCTGAGTAGCTGGCATTACAGGCATGTGCCACCATGCCCAGCTAATTTTTGTATTTTTAGTAGAGACAGGGTTTCACCGTGTTGGCCAGGCTGGTCTCAGACTCCTGACCTCAGGAGATCCGCTGGCCTTGGCCTCCCAAAGTGCTGGGATTACAGGCATGAGCCACTGCGCCCAGCCCCCTCATGGAGCTTCAATTCCAGATTCTGGTTGCCAATCTGTTTGTTGATCAAAGGAGAATGGGGCAGAGGGATGGTGTGCATCAAAGTGCATGGTGTGTAGGAGCATTCAATGACTACTTGCCAGTTACCCCATTGGTGGACAGAGTCTTATATAGAAAATTGCCTCACTGGTAACCAACTTCTGACTGTCACAAAACCCAACTGGAGACTGAATAGGCTTTCACTATTACAGGTCTGGTGGTTATTATCTGCATGTTAATGGACAGATGCCCATGCCAGTGGCACTGATCAAGTTTCCTTACTTTTAGGTATAAAGGACATCGTCCAGTGCTTTTCCTGTGGAGGGTGTTTAGAGAAATGGCAGGAAGGTGATGACCCATTAGACGATCACACCAGATGTTTTCCCAAGTGAGTGGAATGAATGTTAACCATCTGCAACTTTGGATGCACTTCAACAGTTTTTTTCTTTTTCCTCATTTCCTGCCTTATTTTATCTTTAGATTGAGTCTTTATCCACTCCTCGGATTCAGGCTATGAAGGATGAGTCTTCATGTCTTTCATCCCTTTGCTCCATGACCCCCTTCCTGTACTAGCCTTCCCCTCTTTATAGTTATGGCATAGTTTTGGCTAGATTCATATATTCACATTACATGTTTACATTATCATGACTATACAAATGCTATGTGGAGCTGAAGCTTGTGGTAAATTTTTATTTATTTTTCCCTTCCTGTATATCCTTTTATTTTTTTAGGAAGTAATAACTGTCCTGTTGGTATGTTAGCTTATTTTTTTTTCCTGAGGTAAAATTCAGGTAGTAACCATTTTATTTATTTATTTATTATTTTTTGTGACAGGTTCTCTCTCTTGCCCAGGTTGGAGTGCAGTGGTGCAATCATGGCTCACTGCAGCCTTGACCTCTCTGGCTCAAGCAATCTTCCTCGCTCAGCCTCCCAAGTAGCTGGGACTACAGGCACATGTCTTCACACCCAGCTAATTTTTTTTTCTTTTTTTAAGAGACAGGGTCTCTCTATGTTGCCCAGGCTGCTCTCAGACTTCTAGGCTCAAGCAGTCTTCCCATCCTGGCTTCCCAAAGTGCTGGGATTATAGGCGTGAGCCACCATGCACAGCAATTAAACCATTTTAGAGTACACAATTCTGTGGCATTTATTATAGTACATTCACAATGTTGTGCAACCACCCCCTCTATCTAGTTCCAAAACACTTTCATCGCCCCCAAAGAAAACTCTGTATCCATCAAGCAGGCCCCCCTCCTCTCTCCACCCCACTCCATGCCCAGCCCCTGGGATACACCAACCTAATTGGTGTCTATGGATTTATTTGTTCTGACTATTTCCTCTAAATGGAAGCATACCGTTTGACCTTTTGCATTTGGATTCTTTCACTTGGCATATTGTTTTGAAGTTTATCCATGTTGTAGCTTGCATAAGTACTTCCTTCCTTTTGAGACCAAGTAATATTCCATATGGATACACTGCATTTTATTTATCCATTCATCTATTTGTAGATATTTGGGTTGTTTCTACCTTTTGGCTACCATGAGTAATACCGATAGGAACATTTGGGTACAGGTATCTGATGGAGCATGTAACTGTATTCAAGTCTCTGGGGCATATACCTAACAACGATATTGCTAGCTGTATAGTAATTCTATGTTTTTACTTTTTTTTTTTTTTTCTCACACAGAGTCTCACTCTGTCACTCAGGCTGGAGTGCAGCGGTGCAATCTCAGCTCACTGCAACCTCCGCCTCCCAGGTTCAAGCAATTTTCCTGCCTCAGTCTCCTGAGTAGCTGGGATTACAGGTGTCTGCCACCATGCCCGCCTAATTTTTTGTATTTTTAGGGTTTCACCATGTTGGCTAGGCTGGTCTCAAACTCCTGACCTCAAGTGATCCACCTGGCTTGGCCTCCCAAAGTGCTGGAATTACAAGCGTGAGCCACAGCGCCTGGCCTGTTTTAACTTTTTGAGGAAATGCTAAACTGTTTTTTCCACAGTGCTTGCACCATTTTAAATTCCCACCAACAACAATGTTGTGCAACCACCCCCTCTATCTAGTTCCAAAACACTTTCATCGCCCCCAAAGAAAGAAAACTCTGTATCCACTAAGCAGGCCCTCCTTCTCTCTCCACCCCACTCCATGCCCAGCCCCTGGGATACACCAACCTAATTGGTGTCTATGGATTTATTTGTTCTGACTATTTCCTCTAAATGGAAGCATACAGTTTGACCAACAATGTATGAGGTTTCCCATTTCTCATCAACACTTTTCTATTTTTAAAAAAATTATAGCCATCTGCTTAATTTTTTTTTTTTTTTTTTTTTTTTTTTGAGATGGAGTCTCACTTTGTCGCCCAGGCTGGAGTGCAATGGCGTGATCTCACTCACTGCAACCTCCGCCTCCTGGGTTCATGCCATTCTCCTGCCTCAGCCTCCCGAGTAGCTGGGACTACAGGCACCTGCCATCACGCCCGGCTAATTTATTTTTTATTTATTTTTTTAGTAGAGACGGGGTTTCACCGTGTTAGCCAGGATGGTCTCCATCTCCTGACCTCGTGATCCACCCGCCTCAGCCTCCCAAAGTGCTCTGATTACAGGCGTGAGCCACCGCGCCCGGCCAGCCATCTGCTTAATTTTTATGTACATTGCTTATTTTTGTTTCTTGAGATAAAATTCATGTATTAATAATTTTATTTATTTAAATGAAATAAATGAAGACGAACACCAGCTCATCTTCAACTTATCCCAAATGTTTAAATCTCCTCTTAAGTCATTCAGACCTACCAGATATCTCATCATTTTCATTTCTTGAAAGAGTCATCATTTTTTTTTTCTTTTTCTTTTTTTTTTGAGACGGAGTCTGGCTCTGTCACCCAGGCTGGAGTGCAGTGGCATGATCTCGGCTCACTGCAGACTCTGCCTCCCAGGTTCAAGCAATTCTTCCTGCCTCAGCATCCCAAGTAGCTGGGACTACAGGCATGCACCACTATGCCTGGCTAATTTTTGTATTTTTAATAGAGATGGAGTTTTGCCACGTTGGCCAGGCTAGTTTCAAACTCCTGACCTCAAGTGATCCGCCTGCCTCAGCCTCCCAAAGTGCTGGTATTACAGGCGTGAGCCACTGCGGCTGGTCCATTTTCATCTTGGAGGAGTCATCCATCATTTTCACCTCCTTGAATGAGTTTCCCTGGAAGTCTTCTGGCCTGCTGGATTATGAACAACTTGTCCTATAATCATCCTGGGATCCAGGGATCTTTCTTCACAGGCATCCTGGAGATTATCTCCTCTGTTGTATCTCCTGGATCTAATGTCATCCTCTTCTTGGTTCACTTGCTCATTTTGTTGGAACACTTCATCGGAGTTCCCTGGGAAAGACTGCATAAGAAATACACACTTTTAGTTGCATATAATGCATATACAGACATATAGATCTATCTAGATATATGTTTTTCCTGTATTCTCACACTTATTTGATAGTTTAGCTAGGTGTAGAATTATAGGTTGGAAGTCATTTTAATTCTAAATTGTAGAGGCACTGCTACATTTCTACTGGTTCCTAATGTGCTGTCGAGAAGTTCCATGCCTTTCTGCTTGTCAATCCTTTTACTGCAAACAAAATTTTTTTTTTCCTCTGCTGGAAGCTTTCAGAAAAATATCTGTTCTAAAATTTTATGAAGAAATATTTCTTTTCTATGAATCTTTAAACTTAATTTTTTTTTACCCATCAAACTCTTTAGAAATGTTTAATTGCAAGAAGAAATTTGTGTTTTCACTATGTAATTAGTAAGAGTTTTTTTTTTAGAAATGAATATGAACACATACAGATTTTAAAATGAATGCTTCCTGCTCATTTGTATAGTGGTAAAAACAAAAATAAAACAAAATGAATACTTCTATCTAATTTTATTGCCTTGAAGGTATTTTGATAGCAGTAGTTACCTCATTTTTCTTTCTTATTTGGGCTTAGTGTATAATAAATTATTGAGAACAATGGGGACATTCTACTTAATTCTTGGAAGGATAAGCTAGGATGCAGTCTAGTCTTATTTAGAACTTACTCTGGAATCGATCAACTCCCTTTTATACTATTATTATTATTATTAGTTTTAGTGTTTTGTTGTTGTTGTTTTGGAGATGGAGTCTCACTCTGTCACCCAGGCTGGAGTGCAGTGGCGTGATCTCGGCTCACTGCAACCTCCGCCTCCCGGGTTCAAGCGATTCTCCTGCCTCAGCCTCCCAAGTAGCTGGGATTACAGGTACCTCCCCACCATGCCTGGCTAATTTTTTGTACTTTTAGTAGAGACGGGGTTTCACCATGTTGGCCAGGCTGGTCTTGAACTCCTGACCTCAAGTGATCCTCCTGCCTCAGCCTCCCAAAGTGCTGGGATTACAGGTGTGAGCCGCCACACCTGGCCTTTAGTGTTTTTTTGTTAAGAGACTGGGTCTCGGCTCTGTCACCCAGGCTGGAGCAAGTGCAGTGGTACAATCCTAGCTGACTGTAGCCTCAAATTCCTGGGCTCAAGTGATCCTCCCACCTCAGCCTCCCAAGTAGCTAGGACTACAAGCATGTGTCACCATGCCCGACTAATTTTTTAAAGTTTTTTTTTTGTAGAGATGGGGTCTTGCTTTGTTGCCCAGGCTGGTCTCAAACTCCTGGCTCCAAATGATCCTTCTGCTTCAGCCTCCCAAAGTACTTGGATTACAGGCATGAGCCACTGCTCCCAGCCAACTCCTTTTTGGATTTTTACTCTTCCTTTTCCTCTTAAAAAAACTGCAAACCAGTATGTCTCCAAATGATTACCTAAAATTTTTATGTATGCTTTAAAGAATGAATAAAAAGCAACCTATGAACCTCCTAGTAAAGTCAAGAAATTGGACATTATCAATGCCTTAAAAGACCCCTGCGGCCGGGTGCAGTGACTCACGCCTGTAATCTCAGCACTTTGGGAGGCCGATGTGGGCAGATTGTCTGAGCTCAAGAGTTCGAGACCAGCCTGGGCAACATGGTGAAACCCCATCTCTGTTAAAAAACAGAAAAATTTAACCGGGCCTGGTGACACACGCCTGTAGTCCCAGCTATTAGGGAGGCTGAGGCAGGAGAATGGCTTGAACCTGGGAGGCGGAAGTTGCAGTGAGCCAAGATGGCGCCATTGCACTCCTGGGCGACAGAGCGTGACTCTGTCTCAAAAAAAAAAAATCAAAAAACAAAAAACAACTCTGCATGCCAACCACCCCCTAATTCTGATTATATCCCTGTCCCTCCAATCCAGAGGTAAATGTGATGCTCAGTTTGGGTTAATTATTCCCTTGCTTCTCTTTGTGGTTTTACCAACTACATATACATCCTTAAACATATTTAGCTTTGTCTATTCTTGAAGTTCAAATAAGAAGCATACTGCATGATTCTTCTTGTAATTGGCTGGTTTTACTCCACGATGTTTTTGAGATTCATCCATATTTATATGTACTACACAGTTGTAGTTCACTTGTTTTCATTGGTAAATAGTGTATTATTTTATGAATATATAATAACTTATTTTACTGTTGATTAACCTCGTGGGTCGTTTTCAGAGTGTTGCAAATTCAAATAATGCCCTATGAACATTCTTGTACATATTTTCCAGTGCTCATGTGTGTTTCTCTAGGATACATAACAAAGTAAAGAATTGCAGAGTCATAGAACTTTGCGGGTGTTCAACTCCACTAGATAATGCAAAGCTTTTTCCCAAGTGGTTGCACTGATTTACATTCCCATTGGCCTAGATGCGTTTCTATTGATTTGCTTCCTCACTAACTTGGTATTGCCCAAATTTTAATTTTTGTCAGTGTAATTACTAATAATGTTAAGCTTATTTTCTTCTTCTTTTTTTCTTTCTTTTTTTTTTTTTGAGACGGAGTTTCACTCTTGTTGCCCAGGCTGGAGTGCAATGGCACGATCTCGGCTCACCACAACCTCCGCCTCCCAGGTTCAAGTGATTCTCCTGCCTCAGCCTCCCGAGTAGCTGGGATTACAGGCATGTGCCACCACGCCCAGCTAATTTTGTATTTTTAGTAGAGATGGGGTTTCTCCATGTTGGTCAGGCTGGTCTCGGACTCCCAACCTCAGGTGATCCACCCACCTCAGCCTCCCAAAGTGCTGGGATTACAGGTGTGAGCCACCGCGCCCGGCAGTTGAGCTTATTTTCATATTTTCCTGCAGAATAGTCTTGTTCTTTCTCTTCAAGAGTGTGTCTTAGCTATTTTTTTGCCCTTTGGTCTTTCATATTCCAGAGAATATATTAAATATCCCAAGCAGGCATGGTGGTTCACACCTATAATCCCAGCACTTTGGGAGGCTGAGGTGGGAGGAGTGCACAAGGCGAGGAGTTTGAGACTAGCCTTTGCAACATAGCTAGACTCCATTTCTACAAAAAATTTTTAAAACAAACAGGGTGTGGTAGCATGCATCTGTAGTCCCAGCTACCTGGGAGGCAGAGGCAGGAGAATCGCTTGAGCTCAGGAGTATAGGTTGCAATGAGCTATGATTGTGCCACTGTACTGTGGCCTGGGTGACAGAGTAAAACTTTGTCTCTAAAAAACAGAAATATCCCTCTTTATCCTTGATAGTATTTTTTAGGCCTTTATTAGTTTTTTCATGTTACATCTTTTAGATTATTTTCTTTTTAATCTATCTGTGACTATATTTAAAGTCAATTCTTGTTTTTTCCTTTTCCTTTTTGTGGGTAACGGGGTCTCACTATGTTGCCCAGGCAGATCTCAAACTCCTGGGCTCAAGCTGTCCTCCCACCTCTGCCACCCTAAGTGTTGAGATTACAGGCATGAGCCACTGCACCCAGCCTTAAAGTGAATTGTTATAGGCAACAACACAGTGGGGTCTTTTATTTTATTTTTTATTTGTTTATGAGACAGACTCGCTCTGTTGCCTACGCTGGAGTGCAGTGGTGCAGTCTTGACTCACTGCAGCCTGGACTTCCCAGGCTCAAGCAATCCTCCCACCTCAGACTCCTGAGTAGCTGGGACTACAGGCACATGCCACCAAGCCTGGCTAAGTTTGTTAGTTTTTTATAGAGACAAGGTCTCACTATGTTGCCCAGTCTGATCTCGAACACCTAGCCACAAGCAATTCTCCTGCCTTGTCTTCCCAGAGTGCTGGGATTACAGGTGTGGACCACTGAACCCAGCAGGTCTTGCTTTTTTTTTGAGATGGAGGTGTGAGCCACCACATCCAGCCAGGTTTTCTCTTTTTTTTTTTTTTTTGAGACGGAGTCTTGCTCTGTCGCCCAGGCTGGAGTGCAGTGGCACGATCTTGGCTCACTGCAAGCTCCGCCTCCTGGGTTCACACCATTCTCCTGCCTCAGCCTCGCGAGTAGCTGGGACTACAGGCACCCCGCCACCACACCTGGCTAATTTTTTGTATTTTTAGTAGAGACGGGGTTTCACCGTGTTAGCCAGGATGGTCTCGATCTCCTGACCTCATGATCCACCTGCCTTGGCCTCCCAAAGTGCTGGGATTACAGGCGTAAGCCACCACGCCTGGCCAGGTCTTGCTTTTTAAGAGTCTGACAATAACTGCTTTCTAATTGGAATGTTTAGAACGTTTAAATTTAATGCAATTATGAATATGGTTGGATTTAAACCTATTTTACCATTTGCTTTCTATTTATTTCATCACTTCTTTGTTTCTTTTTCTTTTCCTGACTTCCTAGGGTTTAGGGTTTTTTTTTTTTTCTTTTTTCTACCCCCTCCTTGAGTATTTTTTTTTGTACTCCATTTTATTTCTGTCAGCTTATTAGCTATTAATCCTTATTTTACCTTTTTACTACTTGCTCTAGAGTTTACCATATGCCTATTTAACATATCATAGTAATCTTCAAAAATATTATAACAGCTGGGTGCAGTGGCTCATGCCTGTAATCCCGGTAATTTGGGAGGCTGAGGCAGGCAGATCACTTGAGGTCAAGAGTTCCAGAGCAACCTGGGCAACATGGTGAAACCCCGTCTCTACTAAAAATACAAAAAAATTAGCTGGGTGTGGTGGCGCACACCTGTAATCCCAGCTGCTTGGGAGGCTGAGGCACGAGAATTGCTTGAACCCAGGAAGCAGACGCTGCAGAAAGCTGAGATCGTGCCACTGCACTCCAGCCTGGGTGACACAGTGAGACTCTGGGTCAAAAAAATATATAACACTTGACATAAAATGTATGAACCATACAATAGTATATTTCCATTTCTCCCCTCTCATCCTTTGTGCTATTGTCATACATTTTATTTCCATGTACTTTAATAAATCTTACAATATAATGTTATATCTTTGCTTTAAACAATTTAAGTACATTTTTACAACGGCAAAAGTCTTTCATATTTGCCCTCTTAGTTATCTTATCATTCCTGGTACTTTTCATTCCTTTGAGTAGAACCAAATTTCCATCTGCTATCATTTTCCTTTTAAATGATGTGCTTCCTTTCACTTTTTTTTTTTTTTTTTTTTTTTTTTTTTTGAGATGGAGTCTTGCTCTGTCTCCTAGGCTGGAGTTCAGCGCCACGATCTCGGCTGACTGCAACCTCTGCCTCCCGGGTTCAAGTGATTCTCCTGCCTCAACCTCCTGAGTAGCTAGGATTACAGGTGCCCACCACCATGCCAGGCTAATTTTTGTATTTTTAGTAGAGATAGAGTTTCACCATGTTGGCCAGGCTGGTCTTGAACTCCTGACCTCATGATCTGCCTGCCTCAGCCTCCCAAAGTGCTGGGATTACAGGGGTGAACCACTGTGCCTGGTCCCTTTCACATTTTTTGTAGTGCAGTTATGCTGGCAACTGACTTTATTTGGCATTTGTTTGTATGAATAAGTTTATATTTTACCTTCCTTCATAGTTCTTTTCCTTGATGGGCCTATTAAAATATTTTTTTTCTTTTGTAAGCCACTTCACCCCTTCCCTATGGGTTTGTTTTTATTTACCTCTACATGGCTGACTTTGGACAGAAACGTTAAAAGTTCTACTTGTTGTTTTCCTGAAGCTATGCTTCTATTTCTGGACTCATCGCCAAGTCACCTGAAGGCAATACAAATGAAGTATCTGGGCCACATGCAGTGGCTCACGCCTGTAATCCCAGCACTTTGGGAAACTGAGGTGGGAGGATACCTTGAGCCCAGAAAAAAAAAAAATTAGCCTGGCATGGTGGCACGTGCCTGTAGTCCCAGTTACTTGGGAGGCTGAGGTGGGAGGATCACTTGAGCCTGGGAGTTGGAGGCTACATTGATCCTTGGTCGTGTCACTACCCTCAAGCCTGGACAAAAGAGTGAGACCTTGTCTCAAAAAAAAAAAAAAAAAAAAAAAAGTGTCCCTTTGCTTTACTCCTGCTCTCCAGTGATTCTACAGCATGGAATAGGCCACTGACTTACTCACATGTATAGTTCTCATCTGTCCATTTTAATAATTGCAACTAGAGCTCTTTTTGAACTTTCTCTCTTGTTCTTCAAGCATACATCAAACCTGAGTTTAGAGGGTATTTGCGTCCTAGTTTCACGAGATTGGCAAGTAGTTTTTAGAGAGTATGTTTGTGGCCATTCTTTTCTTTTGATACTGACGGAGGGTTTCTTTTTTAATTTTTTGTTTGTTTAAGACAGGGTCTTACTCTGTCACCCAGGCTGGAGTGCAGTGATGCAATCACGGCTCACTGTAGCCCCAACCTCCTGGCCTCAAGTGATCTTCTTGCCTCAGCACCCCCAAGTAGCTGGGACTATACATGCATGCCACCCTGCTAGCTAATTTTTAGAGGAGGTCTCTCTATGTTGCACAGGTTGGTCTGGTCTTGAACTTCTGGCCTCAAGTGAAACTCCTACTTTGGCTTCCCAAAGTGCTGGGATTACAGGCATGAGCCATTGCACCTGGCAATGGAGTGGTTTGTGGTTGGTTAGTTTTTTGTTTGTTTGTTTGTTTGTTTTTGAGACAGAGTTTCACTCCTGTTGCCCAGGCTAGAGTGCAATGGTGCGATCTCGGCTTACTTCAACTTCTGCCTCTTGGGTTCAAGCAATTCTCCTGCCTCAGCCTCCCAAGTCGCTGGGATTACAGGCGTCCGCCACAACGCCCGGCTAATTTTTGTATTTTTAGTAGAGGTGAGGTTTCACCATGTTGGTCAGGTTGGTCTCAAACTCCTGACCTCAAGTGATCCACCCGCCTCAGCCTCCCGAACTGCTGGGATTACAGGCGTGAGCCACCATGCCTGGCCTTGTTTGTTTTTTGTTTTGTTTTGAGACAGAGTCTCACTCCATTGCCCAGACTAGAGTGCAGTGGCACAATCTCAGCTCACTGCAACCTCCGCCTCCCAGGTTCAAGCGATTCTTGTGCCCCAGCCTCCTAAGTAGCTAGGACTACAGGTGTGCGCCACCACTGCCTGGTTAATTTTGGAATTTTCTTTTTAATAGAGACAGGGTTTTGCCATGTTGGCCAGGCTGGTCTCAAACTTCTGGCCTCAAGTGATCTGCCCGCCTCGGCCTCCCAAAGTGCTGGGATTTTGGGTGTGAACCACCGCACTCACAGAGTTTTTTTCTTTTTTTAATAAATTTTTATTTGAAATTATTTAGATTTGCAGAAAGTGCAAAGTAATACAAAGAGTTCCTATATATTGCCATACCCAATTTACCCTAATGCTAACATCTTACACTAGCATATTTGTCAAAATCATCAGTGTACCAATTCATATACTGTACATTACTATTTACTAAAATCCAGAGTTTATTTGGATTTCACCAGTTTTTCCACTATGTTGTTTTTTGTTCCAGAATTCATAAATAGAGGGTTTTTTTTTTCCTATTTTTGATTCTTTAAGTTCATTTTTGTTGGTTGCATGGAGGAGTGTCATATACGCACTCATTCCACCAAATTCCCTTGATATCCTTTACCATTACTTTATAAACCATTTACATTTCTCTTGCAGAGAGCCACAACCTAAGTGCCTTACCTGATGACACTGACAGAGAGAATCACTGGAAATGATAGTTTTATACTTAATTCTTGTCACTAAAACTCTAATAGTGTTTTTAAAAACCTAATACAAGGCCAGGCCTGGCGGCTCACACCTATCATCCCAGCACTTTGGGATGCCTAGGGAGGAGAATTGCTCAAGGCCAGAAGTTTGAAACCAGAACAGCCTGGGCAACATAGTGAGACCCTGTCTCTGAAAAAACAAAACAAACAACAACAGCAACAACAACAACAAAAATACCTAACACAAATACTTAAATGCATACAACTATTTTTATAACTTTTAACTTTTACACTTAGTTGTCCATTTCTCCAAAATATGAAGTCCTCTGCGGAAGTGACTCCAGACCTTCAGAGCCGTGGTGAACTTTGTGAATTACTGGTAATGAACACCGTCATCTTGTCTGTTTTACCAGCACATGATCATATAATTGAAAACTGTTTTGAACAGGAATGTCTCATCATAAATAAGTTAATAAATTCTACAAACATCTACTAAACATCTGTTATGTTCTAGGTACAGATTGGGGAAATCACAATAAACCAGTCGGGCACAATACCTAGCTTCATGAAATGTATAGTCAATCTCTTCTACTTCAAGGCCCAGACTCTCTTAGACTTTGTTGATTAGCATCCAGGCTAAATGGATCCTCTCTGGATCTTCATGTGGAGGGCAATAAGGCTGGATTTGCTACTTGGCCTTTTTAGGGGTTGAGAAGATGTTACTTTAACAAAAGCAAGTGCCCAACAAAATCATAAACCCAGGTAATAGGCTGACCACTTTAAGCTGAGAAATCCTACCTAGTTCTCTGGGATCTAAGCCACTACTAATTTAATGCACACATATACCACCTTATTTTGAGGCTGTGTGTTAGGTATGTTATGTTTGTCATCCCCCCACCCCCAACACACACAAAAACCAACTTGCTATTCACGTGATTCATTTTCTATATGAATTGAAAAATGGCACTAAAGAAAAAAGTTTGGGGATATAGAAATAGCTTATTTTTTAAGGAAGAAACATAACCTTTCTAAGTACTGGATGTGTAATATTAAAAATGTAGTTAACCAAGGACAGAGGCTGCACCTAATGACTTTTGGAGGAACCTTCTTGCTCAAGACACTATGATTCTCGTTACCTGGATAGTATCACCCATGGATTGTATCATATATGAACCACTGAGGAACACACATTCCTGCAGATGTTTGCAGATTATTAATTGCTTTATATTTGGAGCACCCCTCCCTTCAATCAGCATAAATATTTGAGGGTGGGCTGTGTTTAGAAGATGTTTAGTCTCCAATGATTACAACATGATGCACCACTCTCCTATACAAATTTTGATTTAAGAAAAGATTTTATTTTTCAAAGGAAACCACAAGTGAAAGCAATCTTGAAGATTCAATAGCAGTTGGTCCTATAGTGCCAGGTAAGAACTTTGAAGTAGCACGTGGGATTATATGTATTTGTAAATATATTTGTATACAGGGCAGTTGCAAAAAAAAGAGTATTTATAATTGTCCAAAGAGCTTCCAAAGAGGAGCAGCATTGCAACAGTGTCGTGTATGAGCAAAAGTCAAGATTCTTGTGGCTTCTCCAGAGTGCAGGCAGGACCAAACTGATAGTAGGCAACGTGTCTCAGGTACAAGCAAACCAGTCCTTAGAAGCACCAATCAGTAAACTTCTTTCCTGAGATTTTTATTTTTATTCATTTTATTTTATTTTATTTTATTTGAGACAGGGTCTTACTTTGTCACCCAGGCTGGAATGCAATGGCAAGATCATGGCTCACTGCAGCGTCGACCTCCCAGGCTCAAGTGATCCTCCCATCTCAGCCTCCCCAGTAGCTGGGACCACAAGCATGTGCCACCACACCTGGCTAATTTTTTGTATTTTTTGTAGAGACAGGGTTTTGCCATGTTGGCCAGGCTGGTCTTGAACTCCTAGGCTCAAGCAATTCGCCTGCCTCGGTCTCCCACAGTGCTGGGATTACAGGCATGAGTCACTTTGCCTGGCCTCTTTCCTGAGATGCATGGTGCTTATGATAAGCACACATTATGTCTAGGTCCCTGCTTCAAGTGTGGCACTTTGGACACATGCTTCCCACATTCCGATTTTGTGCCAAAACCTATGAGATGATCGCAATGTGGGAATCATGGATGGCTGTGGAAAATCCTAACACATTCGTAGTAGACAGGCAGAATCATGGAATGAAAAGGCATGGCGTTCAGACTGAGGGAGATGTGACTATGAATCCCTGTTGTGCCCCCCTTTCTTTCTCTGCACAGAAATGGCACAGGGTGAAGCCCAGTGGTTTCAAGAGGCAAAGAATCTGAATGAGCAGCTGAGAGCAGCTTATACCAGCGCCAGTTTCCGCCACATGTCTTTGCTTGATATCTCTTCCGATCTGGCCACGGACCACTTGCTGGGCTGTGATCTGTCTATTGCTTCAAAACACATCAGCAAACCTGTGCAAGAACCTCTGGTGCTGCCTGAGGTCTTTGGCAACTTGAACTCTGTCATGTGTGTGGAGGGTGAAGCTGGAAGTGGAAAGACGGTCCTCCTGAAGAAAATAGCTTTTCTGTGGGCATCTGGATGCTGTCCCCTGTTAAACAGGTTCCAGCTGGTTTTCTACCTCTCCCTTAGTTCCACCAGACCAGACGAGGGGCTGGCCAGTATCATCTGTGACCAGCTCCTAGAGAAAGAAGGATCTGTTACTGAAATGTGCATGAGGAACATTATCCAGCAGTTAAAGAATCAGGTCTTATTCCTTTTAGATGACTACAAAGAAATATGTTCAATCCCTCAAGTCATAGGAAAACTGATTCAAAAAAACCACTTATCCCGGACCTGCCTATTGATTGCTGTCCGTACAAACAGGGCCAGGGACATCCGCCGATACCTAGAGACCATTCTAGAGATCAAAGCATTTCCCTTTTATAATACTGTCTGTATATTACGGAAGCTCTTTTCACATAATATGACTCGTCTGCGAAAGTTTATGGTTTACTTTGGAAAGAACCAAAGTTTGCAGAAGATACAGAAAACTCCTCTCTTTGTGGCGGCGATCTGTGCTCATTGGTTTCAGTATCCTTTTGACCCATCCTTTGATGATGTGGCTGTTTTCAAGTCCTATATGGAACGCCTTTCCTTAAGGAACAAAGCGACAGCTGAAATTCTCAAAGCAACTGTGTCCTCCTGTGGTGAGCTGGCCTTGAAAGGGTTTTTTTCATGTTGCTTTGAGTTTAATGATGATGATCTCGCAGAAGCAGGGGTTGATGAAGATGAAGATCTAACCATGTGCTTGATGAGCAAATTTACAGCCCAGAGACTAAGACCATTCTACCGGTTTTTAAGTCCTGCCTTCCAAGAATTTCTTGCGGGGATGAGGCTGATTGAACTCCTGGATTCAGATAGGCAGGAACATCAAGATTTGGGACTGTATCATTTGAAACAAATCAACTCACCCATGATGACTGTAAGCGCCTACAACAATTTTTTGAACTATGTCTCCAGCCTCCCTTCAACAAAAGCAGGGCCCAAAATTGTGTCTCATTTGCTCCATTTAGTGGATAACAAAGAGTCATTGGAGAATATATCTGAAAATGATGACTACTTAAAGCACCAGCCAGAAATTTCACTGCAGATGCAGTTACTTAGGGGATTGTGGCAAATTTGTCCACAAGCTTACTTTTCAATGGTTTCAGAACATTTACTGGTTCTTGCCCTGAAAACTGCTTATCAAAGCAACACTGTTGCTGCGTGTTCTCCATTTGTTTTGCAATTCCTTCAAGGGAGAACACTGACTTTGGGTGCGCTTAACTTACAGTACTTTTTCGACCACCCAGAAAGCTTGTCATTGTTGAGGAGCATCCACTTCCCAATACGAGGAAATAAGACATCACCCAGAGCACATTTTTCAGTTCTGGAAACATGTTTTGACAAATCACAGGTGCCAACTATAGATCAGGACTATGCTTCTGCCTTTGAACCTATGAATGAATGGGAGCGAAATTTAGCTGAAAAAGAGGATAATGTAAAGAGCTATATGGATATGCAGCGCAGGGCATCACCAGACCTTAGTACTGGCTATTGGAAACTTTCTCCAAAGCAGTACAAGATTCCCTGTCTAGAAGTCGATGTGAATGATATTGATGTTGTAGGCCAGGATATGCTTGAGATTCTAATGACAGTTTTCTCAGCTTCACAGCGCATCGAACTCCATTTAAACCACAGCAGAGGCTTTATAGAAAGCATCCGCCCAGCTCTTGAGCTGTCTAAGGCCTCTGTCACCAAGTGCTCCATAAGCAAGTTGGAACTCAGCGCAGCCGAACAGGAACTGCTTCTCACCCTGCCTTCCCTGGAATCTCTTGAAGTCTCAGGGACAATCCAGTCACAAGGTATACCTGTATATATTTTGGATGACTATTCTGATGTATAATTTCTTTTTCTTACTTTAAGTGGTTGAAAACTTCTGAGGCCATGAAAGCATGCATGCTCATTGATAGAACAGATATAAAATAAACCTTCACTAATTTTTTTTGACAGTAGCATGAATTAGTGAAAAGTCCTTGAATAATAGAATGGTTTTCAAATAACTCAGACAAAATGAATAAAATATTTATATTAAATTATTGAAGGTTCTTAATAAAGACATGAATTATCTGTTATTAGTAAAAGAATTAGCTATATGTAAGATGATGCTTAGAAATTACCTTCACCCTAGCTGCCTAAAGGAAGAAAGGCCTGTAGTCCCTGGGAAATAAATAAATTAATGGGAAATAATATCTTCATCTATTTGTGTCTTAACTCCTCTAAGCACTATTTGATAGTTTTCAGTGTAGACTTAACCCATCTTTCATTAAATTTATTCCTAGATACTCATATCTTTTGAAAGTATTGTAAATGTCATTAAAAATATTTTTTCATTTTCTAATTGTTGCTAGTATTGCTTTGGTCTTAAGCAGTTTGACTGTTATATGCCTAGGTGTGCTTTGCTTTGTATGTATCTTGCTTGAGGTGCACTGAACTTTTTTGGAATGTGTGGGTTGACATTTACCAAATTTAGAAAATTTTTCATCTTTTTTCAAGTACTGTTTTATTATGGTAAAATACATGTAACAAAGCTTACATTTTAATCATTTTAAGTGTACAACTCAGTGGCATTAAGCATTCACTATGTTGTACAACCATCACCACTATCCATCTCCAGAACCTTTTCATCATCCCAATTAAACAATAAATTGGGCCGGGCGCGGGGGCTCACGCCTGTAATCCCAGCACTTTGGGAGGCCGAAGAGGGTGGATCGCCAGAGCTCAGGAGTTTGAGACCACCCTGGGCAACATGGTGAAACCACATCTCTACTAAAATACAAAAAATTAGCTGGGCGTGGTGGCATGCGCCTGTAGTCCCAGCTATTCGGGAGGCTGAGGCATGAGAATCACTTAAGCCTGGGAGGCAGAGGTTGCAGTGAGCCCAGATCATGCCACTGCACTCCAGCTTGGGCTACCGAGTGAGACTCCGTCTCAAAAAAAAAAAAAAAAAAAAAAAAAAAAAAAAATCTTCCCTCCCACCAGCCCCTGATAACTTCTCTTCTATTTTCTGTCTCTATGAATTTGCCTCTTCTAGATATTGTTTATAAGCATTATCACTTGTCTGGCTTATTTCACTTTGCATACTGTTCAAGGTACATCATGTTGTAGCCTATATTGGAATTTCATTCCTTCACATGTACTCCATAAATATGTACAATTATTATGTATCAACTTTGAAAAGGAACTTCATCCTTTTTATAGCTAATATTCCATGGTATGTATATAGTACATTTTGTTTATCCATTCTGCTGCTGAGAGACACTTGGGTTGTTTCTACCTTCTGGCTATCATAAATAATGCTGCAATGAACACTGGCATTATAAGTATCGGTTTAAGTTCTTGCTTTTAATCATTTTGGGTATATACCTAGAAGCAGAATTGCTGATTCATATGGTAGTTCTATGTTTAACTTTTTGAGGAACTTGCACAGTAGCTGCACCATCTTACATTCCCACTATCCATGTACAAAGGTTCCAATTACTCCACATCCTCTTCAGCACTTGTTAATTTTTGTTTTTGTGGAGACAGAGTCTAATTCTGTCACCCAGGCTGGAGTGCAGTGGCGAGATCTTGGCTCACTGCAACCTCCACCTCTCGGGTTCAAGCAATTCTCCTGTCTCAGCCTCCTGAGTAGCTGGGACTACAGGTGTGCACCACCATACCTGGCTAACTTTTGTATTTTTAGTAGAGATGGGGTTTCGCCATGTTGCCCAAGCCGGTCTCGAACTCCTGAGCTCAGGCAGTCCAGCCACCTTGGCCTCCCGAAGTGCTAGGATTACAGGCATGAGCCACAGTGCCCGACCTGTTTTTGTTTTCATTGTTGTTTTTCAGACAGTGTCTTGCTCTATTGCCCAAGCTGGAGTGCTGTGGTGCAATCATGGCTCACTGCAGCCTCAACCTCTTGAGCTCAGGTGATCCTCCTGCCTCAGCCTCCTGAGTAGCTGAGACTACCAGCATGCACCACCGTGCCTGGATAATTTTTTATTTTTTGTAGAGACAGATTCTTGCTATGTTGCCTAGTCTGGTCTTTTTTCTTTTTCTTTCTTTTTTTTTTTTGAGATGGAGCCTCGCTCTGTCCCCCAGGCTGGAGTGCAGTGGCGCAATCTCGGCTCACTGCAAGCTCTGCCTCCTGGGTTCACGCCATTCTCTTGCCTCAGCCTCCCAAGTAGCTGGGATTACAAGCTCCCGCCACCACACCCAGCTAATTTTTGTATTTTTAGTAGAGATGGGGTTTCACCATGTTGGCCAGGCTGGTCTTGAACTCCTGACCTCAGGTGATCCACCCACCTCGGCCTCCCAAAGTGCTGGGATTACAGGCATGAGCCACCGTGCCTGGCCCCTAGTCTGGTCTTGAACTCCTGGGCTCAAATGATCCACCCACCTTGGCCTTCCAAAGTGCTGGGATTACAGGTATGAGCCACCTCACCCAGCCCATTTTGTTTTGTGATTATCATAAAGCCATTCTAGTAGTTGTGAAGTGGTATCTCATTGTGGTTTTGATTTGCATTTCTCTAATGCAAATCATGAAAATGATGTTAAGTATCTTTTCACTTTTTGAAAAAATATGTTTGCTCATTTAAAAATTGTTGTTGTTTTTGTTGCATTGTAAGAGTTATTTGTATATTCTGGATTTCAACCTGTTATCAGATACACAGTTTGAAAATATTTTTCCCATTCCATAGGTTGTCATTTTACTTTATTTATAATGTCCTTTGTGCACGAAAGTTTTAAATTTTGACGAAGTCCAATTTATCTGTTTTTTTCTTTTATTGCTGGTCCTTTTGGTGTCCTATCTAAGAATCCATTGCCAAATCCAAGGTCATGAAGATTAACTCCTATGTTTTTTCTAAGAGTTGTGTGATTTCAGCTTTTATATTTAGGTCGTTGATCCATTTTGAGTTGATTTTTTTTACATGGTGAGGGATAGGAATCCAACTTCATTCTTTCGCATGTGCAAATCCAGTTGTCCCCAACCGTTTGTTGAAGAGATGCTATATTTCTTTTCTCTTCTTTTTTTTTTTTTTTTTGAGACGGAGTCTCACACTGTAGCCTGGGCTGGAGTGCAATGGCGCGATCTTGGCTCACTGCAACCTCCGTCTCCCAGGTTTATGTGATTCTCCTGCCTCAGCCTCCTGAGTAGCTGGGATTACAGATGCACACCACCATACCCAGCTAATTTTTTTTTTTGTATTTTTAGTAGAGACGGGGTTTCACTATGTTGGCCAGACTGGTCTCAAACTCCTGACCTCGTGATCCGCCCGCCTCAGCCTCCCAAAGTGCTGGGATTACAGGCATGAGCCACTGCGCCTAGCCGAGATGCTGTATTTCTTTTTGTGAGTCTGAAGAGTAGCACAGGGCTTCCCATACAGTGCATAAGCTGCAAAAAGCAATATCTTCATATATGTATTCTTTAAAAAAAAAAAAGAATGTTTTATGGTATGTGGAAGGTTTGCATGTGAAAATAGCTGGATGAATCAAAATGACAGTTTTAAAATGTCCATTCAGAACTCTTTAGATTAATAATGGGAAACTGTGCTGCTTTCCAGACCAAATCTTTCCTAATCTGGATAAGTTCCTGTGCCTGAAAGAACTGTCTGTGGATCTGGAGGGCAATATAAATGTTTTTTCAGTCATTCCTGAAGAATTTCCAAACTTCCACCATATGGAGAAATTATTGATCCAAATTTCAGCTGAGTATGATCCTTCCAAACTAGGTAAGGATGGCACTTTAATATACTTGTTTTTACGTAAGTTGGAAAAGCTACTTGGCCAATAATTTATTTAAGAGTTAAAGTGCCTGTGGTTCTAAGGGTGTAGCCTGTATCCATGGTAAATTGTGAGGAATAGCACTCTTTCTCATTAAGAAAGCAGAGTGCTGTTTGTAATTATTGAGCCTTTACTACACACTAGGAAGTATCCTAAGCACTTCACAAATATGAACTCAGTCTTCATACCCACTCTATGAAGTACTATTATTATTATTATTATTATTATTATTTTTTTTTTTTTTTTGAGACAGTCTCGCGCTGTCGCCCAGGCTGGAGTGCAGTGGCACGATCTCGGCTCACTGCAAGCTCCTCCTCTCAGGTTCACCATTCTCCTGCCTCAGCCTCCCAAGTAGCTGGGACTACAGGTGCCTGCCACCACGCCCAGCTAATTTTTTGTATTTTTAGTAGAGACGGCGTTTCACCGTGTTAGCCAGGATGGTCTCGATCTCCTGACCTCATGATCTTCCCGCCTCGGCCTCCCAAAGTGCTGGGATTACAGGCATGAGCCACCGTGCCTGGCCAAAGTAAAGTACTATTATTAATGCTATTTTGTAGCTGGGAAAACTGAGACATAAAGAGATAAAGTAATTCGTAATATCCAGCTAAGGAAATGTATATCTGTGACTCAAATACAGGAATTTTGACTCCAAAATCTGAGTTCTTAATCCCTAATATAGGCCGGGCCTGGTGACTCACACCTGTAATCCCAGCACTTTGGGAGGCCGAGAAGGGCAGATCACCTGAGGTCAGGAGTTCGAGACCAGCCTGACCAACATGGTGAAACCCTGCCTCTACTAAAAATGCAAAAATTTGCTGGCATGGTGGCATATGCCTGTAATCCCAGCTACTTGAGAGGCTGAAGCAGGAGAATTACCTGAACCTGGGAGGCAGAGATTGCAATGTGAGCCGAGATCGCGCCATTGTACTCCAGCCTGGGGAACAAGAGTAAAACTCCATGGGGAACAAGAGCAAAACTCCATGGGGAACAAGAGCAAAACTCCATCTCAGAAAAAAAAAAAAAAAAAGAAAGAAATCCCTAATATAATGTTGCCACTCCAAAATAATTTGTAGGGTTATTTTATTTTGTTTTTGGTTAGGCTGGTCTTACATTGCAACTTACAGATCTGGCAGCTCAGCAGGAAGGAAATCTGCTAATCCGTAGTCATTGGAAGTATTTCCCTGTTTCTCACCAGCCTATCCTAATAGTTCATGGAAAATGGTGCAGCCATCTTTCTTAAATACATCATTTAGCTAAATGACTTAGGCACCATCATTCCTTAACTTAGTAAACACTGAACACTAAAGATTGAAGAAATATACAACTCTATGGAATTGACATAAAGACTTGCATGCAAAAGCTTCATTGTTGGCCAGGCACAGTGACTCACACCTGTAATCTTAGCACTTTGGGTGGCCGAGGCGGGAGGATCGCCTGAGAGCAGGAGTTCAGCACCAGGCTGGGCAATATAGCAAGACATCGTCTCTACTAAAAAAATAAAAAATTAGCCAAGTATGATGGTGTGCACCTATAGTCCCCAGCTACTCAGGAGGCTGGTAGGATCACTTGAGTCCAGAAGTTCAAGCTTGCAATAAGCTATGATCATGCCACTGCACTCCAGCCTAGGTGATAGAGCAAGACCCTGTCTCAAAAAAAAAAAAAAAAAAAAAATATATATATATATGTGTGTGTGTGTGTGTGTGCATACATATATACACCGAAGCTGGAGGTGGTAGTTATATTTGTCAGCAAATTTTGCAACAAATTTAGGTTTTGCTTCAGAGTTGTCATTCCTTTTATGTTTCTTTTTTTTTTTTGAGACAGAGTCTCAATCTGTCACCCAGGCTGGAGTGCAGTGGCACCGTTGTCAGCTCACTGCAACCTCCGTCTCCTGGGTTCAAGCAATTCTCCTGCCTCAGCCTCCCAAGTAGCTGGGATTACAGGCGCCCATCACCATGCCCGGCTAATTTTTTAATATTTTTAGTAGAGACGGGGTTTCACCATGTTGGCCAGGCCAGTCTCAAACTCCTGACCTCAGGTGATCCGCCCACCTCAGCCTCCCAAAGTACTAGGATTACAGGCGTGAGCCACTATGCCCAGCTGTTTCTTTGTATAGTATTCTTTTTTTTTTTTTTTTTTTTTTTTTTGGAGATGCAGTCTTGCTCTGTTGCCCAGGCTGGAGTTTGGTGGCGCAATATCCACTCACTGCAACCTCTGCCTCCTGGGTTCAAGCGATTCTCCTGCCTCGGCCTCCCGAGTAGCTGGGATTACAGCTGCCTGCCACCCACGCCTGGCAAATGTTTGTATTTTTAGTAGAGACAGGGTTTCACCATGTTGGCCAGGCTGGTCTCGAGCTCCTGAGCTCAGATGATCCACCTGCCTCGGCCTCCCAAAGTGCTGGGATTACAGGCATGAGCCACAGCACCTGGCCTCTTTGTATTCTTATTGTGTAAATGTCATGTACAAACTTAGAGTTATTAGGTGTTAAAGCTGAAGGTGATGCTACTGAGTCAATGCTTGTATTTTATAGAAGAGAAAACTGTTACCCAGAGAGGGTCAATAATGTGTCAAAATTCACATTACTTGCTAGTTGCAGAACCTGAACCCAAGCCCAGTGACCTGATTCTTAGATCATGAGATCGTGGTACCTGGTTTTAATTAAGTATTATTGAAACAAAATAATAAACTACTTGGCTAATTTTGATAGAAATTTGCAGTATTTTCTAATTTCTGAAAATCCTTGATCTTTTACAGTAAAATTAATTCAAAATTCTCCAAACCTTCATGTTTTCCATCTGAAGTGTAACTTCTTTTCGGATTTTGGGTCTCTCATGACTATGCTTGTTTCCTGTAAGAAACTCACAGAAATTAAGTTTTCGGATTCATTTTTTCAAGCCGTCCCATTTGGTAAGAGTTATAATATTACAATGGTGGTTTAAAATGTTTCTATGGACACAGAGTCATATTAAGCACTCTTTAAAAAGGGCCATATTTTGAGGCTGGGTGTGGTGGCTCATGCCTGTAATCCCAGCACTTTGGGAAGCTGAGGCAGGAGGCTTGCTTGAGGTCAGGGGTTTGAGACCAGTCTGGGCAACATAACAAGCCCTCCACCTCTAAAAAGCTTTAAAAAAATCAGTCGGGCACAGTGGTACCTATAGTCCCAGCTACTAGGGAAGCTAAGGCAGGAAGATTACTTGAGCCCAGAAGGTTGAAGCTGCAGCGAGCTGTGATGGTATCACTGCACTCCAGCCTGGGTGACACAGACCTTGTCTCTTTAAAAAAAGAAAGAAAGAAAAGAAAAATTGTTTCTCAAATAATAAAGTATAGGTGTTTCCAGAATTTTCTTTTTTACCTTTACGCTCAGTTGGATTTGAAATTTCTAGAATTTTAACAACATTTCTAGTTATCAGAATTATTTTCTGAGCAAAAATTTGTTTTATCTACTTAGTCATATGAATTCAATCTGAATTATTACATTAATTTCTAATTTCTTCATTTTAAAGATGTTACACTTTGCTGTGAGACATGTAGCTGACATAACTAAA
Organism: Homo sapiens; assembly: GCF_000001405.40. Lineage (NCBI taxonomy): Eukaryota > Metazoa > Chordata > Mammalia > Primates > Hominidae > Homo > Homo sapiens. Next base: position 799,388 of record NW_025791777.1, read on the forward strand.
TTTTTATTTTCCCTTTCATAGTTGCCAGTTTGCCAAATTTTATTTCTCTGAAGATATTAAATCTTGAAGGCCAGCAATTTCCTGATGAGGAAACATCAGAAAAATTTGGTATGTTTACAAAATAGTGCTTTTTACGTATTCTTATTCTCTTTCTGCCCAGAATCCTTTTTCTCCTATTCTGAATTAGCCACAAGGAAGCAAGATATGCATTAGCTACCCTTGCTTACCAGAACGAAGTGATAGTCATGCTCAACTTCTACCCACCAAATGCCTTCACTACAGTTTTACCTGCAGACTTGATCTCATTCAAAGCAGAATGACTTCTTAGAGTACATATTTGGTCATTATAGCACTATGCAATATAATTGTCAGGTATCTGTTCCAAATATAAGACCTCATAGTTTCAAAGGTTACTAGAATATAGGTAAAAATCTATCTTTTAAGGTTAGGAAAACTCAATACGTGAAAACGTGTATTTCATAAAATGATAGCTATAGAATTTAAATACTTTTTGATTTTTAAAAAACGATTATGAAAGTAATGTATGCTCATGGAAAACATTCTAACAGGAAAAAAAAAAAATAAAGGGAGGCAGTGGAGATAGGGACTGTAGAGCTGTGCTATTCAAAGTGCTTCTCAAACATAAGCGTACATAAAGATTGCCAGGATCCTCCTCTTCCCTTCCTTGGAGGCAGCTAGGTGGGTGGGGGCTGAGGTGGCAGAGGTAGGATCAGGGCCAAGGGGATGGCTGGCATACATCATAGGTTGATTAAGCAAATAATACAGTGAGTATAGCCAGATGCAGTGGCTCACACCTGTAATCCCAGCACTTTGGGAGGCCGAGGTGGGTGGATCACCTGAGGTCAGGAGTTCAAGACCAGCCTGGCCAACATGGTGAAACCCCATCTCTACTAAAAAATACAAAAATTTGCTGGGCGTGGTGGCACATGCCTGTAGTCCCAGCTACTTGGGAGGCTGAGGCAGGAGAATCTCTCGAACCTCGGAGGCAGAGATTGCAGTGAGCCAAGATCAGGTCACTGTACTCCAGCCTGGGTGGCAGAGCAAGACTCTGTCTCAAAAACAAACAAACGAACAAAACAGTGAGTATAATGAGAGCCACGTTTCCTCACAGTTGGAAAAGGAACTTACAAATATTGAAAGGTGAGGCTAGAAAGAGCTTTGAGGTGTTGGATTAGAATTGGAAATATTGGTCTGGCCTCATGGTTTTTTCTAACCTATGAACATACATAGAGATCTCCATATATATACATTGATCTCCACATGTCTATAGATACACACATACATATTTCTCAGCTCAGTGGAGAGACTAGAAGGCACTGCAGTAATAATGAACACACCAAGTGCCTAGATACTGATTTCTAAATCCTGTCCTTCCGTAAAGGAACCAGGGTCCTTGCAAAATTGGCTGATTCAAGAACTGAGACAGGGAAAGAAAATGATAAGCCTGGGACATTGATTTATGCTAGAAATTATTCAATATATTTCCATGTGTGAGGCCTCAGAAGTTACCTTTCTAATGATCAAATGATCTATCGTGTGCCATGCTAGGAAGGAGTCGAAGTGAAAAGGAAGGTTCTAAGAGTGGTGGACTGTGAGGCTTTAGGGCCAGGAGGCCGGTGCAGAATCACTGAGCATGACAGCGGGAGGTGGAATGGGAAAGGAGGTGGCTGAAGGCATTGCAGAGCTGGGAAAGGAACCTGCAGGTCAGGAAAAGCTTCATTCTAAACGAGGAATGGAGATTTAATTGGCAGCCTGGACTTTAGTGCAGGAGAGATTGGTTGGTAGGGTGTGGTGGAGGAATTGTCTGGAGGAGCGAGGAAGACGGAAGCATGTGCTGGCCCTTCTCTTGCTTCCTGGACTGTGCATGATGTTTAGACCATACATGATTTTCAGATTACTGTTGCATAGGAACAAAAAGTACAAAGAGAATAGCTTTTTGGTCTTTTCTGACAGCCTACATTTTAGGTTCTCTTAGTAACCTGGAAGAATTGATCCTTCCTACTGGGGATGGAATTTATCGAGTGGCCAAACTGATCATCCAGCAGTGTCAGCAGCTTCATTGTCTCCGAGTCCTCTCATTTTTCAAGACTTTGAATGATGACAGCGTGGTGGAAATTGGTGAGCTAGTGTTTCAGCTTGCATGGAAGCCAGTGGTATAGCCAAGCTTTCTGCTGCAACATGTCTATGTAAACATTTGCCCCTCTAGAAATTTTCAACCCGCTTCCTCATTTTCACTATCATACTGTTCCTTCTAGTGTCCTTCTGTGGATTTAGGCGCATTCTGGTCAGATTTGGAAGTACAAAAAGGTCTCCCATTTGTGGATATACAAGCCCTCAAATCTGCGTTCTTGCCACCTGGTGTTTTAGACACCTGGCCACATACTCTCCTAAGTACTCCTTTTTAAAACTGAAGATGAATATACACACAGAAAAGTACAAAAATCATGTGTACTGCTCACTGAATTTTATTTTCTTATTTTCTTCTTTTTTTTTTTTTTGAGACAGAGTTTCGCTCGTGTTGCCCAGGCTGGAGTACAATGGCACGATCTCGGGTCACTGCAAACTCTGCCTCCTGGGTTCAAGCGATTCTCCTGCCTCAGCCTCCCAAGTAGCTAGGATTACAGGTGAACGCCACCACACCTGGCTAATTTTGTATTTTTAGTAAACACAGGGTTTCACCATGTTGGCCAGGCTAGTCTCGAACTCCTGACCTCAAGTGAGCCACAGTGCCTGGCCTGAGGAACTGAGATTTCTGTCGAGACCTGAAGGGAGAATGGCCCAGGCATAGTTGGTAGAGGAGGAATTGAGACATCATTTCAAACAGAGGTAATCACTTGTGTCATAGCCTGGAGTTAAAGAGAACCAGATATATTTGAAGAACTTGGGGGAAAAAAAGGAATGTCTGGAGCAAGAGGCAGGAGTGAGTTGTGAGAAGAAGACTGGAGAGGAAAGTAAAAGCCCAATTGGAGAGGCTTTGTCGGGTGTGTTACAAGGGCTGGATCTCATTTTCTTACTGCTCAGCACTGTTATTTTACGTTATTTAAAACAGCTGGGAGCGGTGGCTCAAGCTTGTAATCCCAGCACTTTGGGAGGCCGAGGCGGATGGATCACGAGGTCAGGAGATCGAGACCATCCTGGCTAACATGGTGAAACCCCGTCTCTACTAAAAATACAAAAAATTAGCCAGGCGTGATGGCGGGCACCTGTAGTCCCAGCTACTCGGGAGGCTGAGGCAGGAGAATGGTGTGAACCCGGGAGGTGGAGCTTGAAGTGAGCCAAGATCATGCCACTGCACTCCAGCCTGGGCAACAGAACGAGACTCCGTCTCAAAAAAAAAAACAAAAAACAAAAAACAATGACAACTTACAACGTTTTTCTTAAAGGCCTTGTTTCTTCCTCCTTATGAGGAAGAATTTAATAACATTAAATTTTGTGGTCTCTCTCATCCTCATTTACTATAAATTATTTGTGTTTTATTCTTCTCACTACATTAGGTCAAAGCCTTCCTTAGAACTTCAATCTCACACACAGATTTGAGCCAGTAACCCCTGTCGCTCTCCCTCCTGAGAGCAGGTGTTTTCTCTTCCCGGCGCCCAGCAGAGTATGCCTGGCCTATAGTGGGAACTCAGTAAATATTTGTTGACTGAATAAAGAAAACTTACTTTTCTGTAGCTTCTTCTGATGGACAGCTGAGAGGCCATTGTTTGCCTATAGTCAGTAATGCTTAAACTTTACCTGTAGGAGACAGCATTCAGACACATCACAGAACCGGCTAATCACACAATATGAAGTGGGAGTTATGCTGAAACAGGGGAAAGAAGGGAATGGATGTGAAAGACCTGAGTCTTTCTTCAAGTCCCTCCAGAAGTGTCTTTCATGTGGGGGAATGAGAAATATCTCTTGAATGTTACTGAAGATACCTATTCAGGACATAGCTGAAGACATTTTCTCAGTACCTCTGTTGTTTAACCTCAGTCAAGCTACAGCCATGGATTCTAGATTGAAACCAAACTTAACCTTTGCCCAAGTTAGAAAAAAAAAGAGGTTTAGCAATTAAAAACAAGGCTGGGCATGGTGGCTCATGCCTGTAATCCCAACACGTTGGGAGGCCAAGATAGAAGGACTGCTTGAGGCCAGGAGTTTGAGACAAGATTGGGCAACATAGCAAGACCTTGTCTCCATAAAAAATTGAAAAATTAGCCAAGCACGGTGGCTAGTCCTGAGTAGCTAGGACTCAGGAGGCTGAGGCGGGAGGATTGCTTGAGCCCAGAAATTCTAGGCTGCAGTGAGTTATAACTGAACCATTGCACTCCAGCCTAGGCAACCAAGTGACACCCTGTCTCAAAAAAAAAAATTTTTTTTTTTTTAAAAACCCCTAAACCAAACAACAAGAACTCTGCTTGGTACCCATTCCAAAGTCTAGTCAGCCTGTGTTCATTGAGAACACAGGGTGTGCCCGGCTTCCATTTCCTTCAGAGCCCTTAGTCTCAAAAACAGGAGGGTCCCTTCTGGGCAACAGAAATAGGGCATAGCAGTGGACAGTCGGATGACATGGCTTTAGGAATGTCACACCCCCTTCTCTATAAAAGGGGAAGACATAATTGCTACACTCTTTGAAGTCCCTTGTAATTTAGTCTGGATTTTTTTTTTTTTGTTTTCTCTTTTTGTTTTTTAGACGGAGTCTTGCTCTGTCACCCAGGCTGGAGTGCAGTGGTGGGATTTTGGCTCACTGCAACCTCTACCTCCCAGGTTCAAGCTGATTCTCCTGCCTCAGCCTCCCGAGTAGCTGGGATTACAGGCATGTACCACCATATCCGGCTGATTCTTGTATTTTTAGTAGAGATGGGGTTTCACCATGTTGGCCAGCCTGGTCTCGAACTCCTGACTTCAAGTGATCTACCCACCTCGGCCTCCCAAAATGCTGGGATTACAAGCGTGAGCCACTGTGACTTGCCAATTTAGTCTGGTTTGTAGGCATGATGTACCTTGGCATGTGACCTCCTGTGAGACCAAAAGAGAAGCTCATATTTGTCCAGGATGGTGAAACTCTCAGCACAATGGCGTCAGTGCTTTAGGCTTGGCTGTACTTCTTTGGTTTCTGCTTCTCCCTTAGATTTTTGCCAGGTGGTTCTTTATTAACCCATCAGCTCTTTGGGGTTTTTAAGGAGATATTTTCAAAATATTATATTAAGCTGGGCACAGTGACACGTGCTTGTAATCCCACCTACTTGGGAAGCTGAGGCAGGAGGATCACTTGAGTCCACGAGTTTGAGACCAGCCTGTGATGGCCAGGCGCGGTGGCTCACGCCTGTAATCCCAGCACTTTGGGAGGCCAAGGCGGGTGGATCACAAGGTCAGGAGATCGAGACCATCCTGGCTAACACAGTGAAACCCCGTCTCTACTAAAAATACAAAAAATTAGCTGGGCATGGTGGCGGGCGCCTGTAGTCCCAGCTACTCGGGAGGCTGAGGCAGGAGAATGGCATGAACCTGGGAGGCGGAGGTTGCAGTGAGCTGAGATCATGCCACTGCACTGCAGCCTGGGTAACAGAGCGAGACTCCATCTCAAAAAAAAAAAAAAAAAAAAAAAAAAAAAGAAAGAAAGAAAAAGAGACCAGCCTGTGTTAACATAGCAAGACCCCATTTCAAAAAACAAAATTATATTGAGTACTTCCTACTAGCAGTAGTGGTGGGAGAGGAGGCTGGTTCAAATAACCTTGTCTACCATTATTGAAATGGAAGTCCTTATGATTCTATTTTCATGAATGTTTTGTTCTTGTAGCCAAAGTAGCAATCAGTGGAGGTTTCCAGAAACTTGAGAACCTAAAGCTTTCAATCAATCACAAGATTACAGAGGAAGGATACAGAAATTTCTTTCAAGCACTGGACAACATGCCAAACTTGCAGGAGTTGGACATCTCCAGGCATTTCACAGAGTGTATCAAAGCTCAGGCCACAACAGTCAAGTCTTTGAGTCAATGTGTGTTACGACTACCAAGGCTCATTAGACTGAACATGTTAAGTTGGCTCTTGGATGCAGATGATATTGCATTGCTTAATGTCATGAAAGAAAGACATCCTCAATCTAAGTACTTAACTATTCTCCAGAAATGGATACTGCCGTTCTCTCCAATCATTCAGAAATAAAAGATTCAGCTAAAAACTGCTGAATCAATAATTTGTCTTGGGGCATATTGAGGATGTAAAAAAAGTTGTTGATTAATGCTAAAAACCAAATTATCCAAAATTATTTTATTAAATATTGCATACAAAAGAAAATGTGTAAGGCTTGCTAAAAAACAAAACAAAACAAAACACAGTCCTGCATACTCACCACCAAGCTCAAGAAATAAATCATCACCAATACCTTTGAGGTCCCTGAGTAATCCACCCCAGCTAAAGGCAAACCCTTCAATCAAGTTTATACAGCAAACCCTCCATTGTCCATGGTCAACAGGGAAGGGGTTGGGGACAGGTCTGCCAATCTATCTAAAAGCCACAATATGGAAGAAGTATTCAATTTATATAATAAATGGCTAACTTAACGGTTGAATCACTTTCATACATGGATGAAACGGGTTTAACACAGGATCCACATGAATCTTCTGTGGGCCAAGAGATGTTCCTTAATCCTTGTAGAACCTGTTTTCTATATTGAACTAGCTTTGGTACAGTAGAGTTAACTTACTTTCCATTTATCCACTGCCAATATAAAGAGGAAACAGGGGTTAGGGAAAAATGACTTCATTCCAGAGGCTTCTCAGAGTTCAACATATGCTATAATTTAGAATTTTCTTATGAATCCACTCTACTTGGGTAGAAAATATTTTATCTCTAGTGATTGCATATTATTTCCATATCATAGTATTTCATAGTATTATATTTGATATGAGTGTCTATATCAATGTCAGTGTCCAGAATTTCGTTCCTACCAGTTAAGTAGTTTTCTGAACGGCCAGAAGACCATTCGAAATTCATGATACTACTATAAGTTGGTAAACAACCATACTTTTATCCTCATTTTTATTCTCACTAAGAAAAAAGTCAACTCCCCTCCCCTTGCCCAAGTATGAAATATAGGGACAGTATGTATGGTGTGGTCTCATTTGTTTAGAAAACCACTTATGACTGGGTGCGGTGGCTCACACCTGTAATCCCAGCACTTTGGGAGGCTGAGGCGGGCGAATCATTTGAGGTGAGGAATTCGAGACCAGCCTGGCCAGCATGGTGAAACCCCATCTCTACTAAAAATACAAAAATTAGCCAGGTGTGGTGGCACATGCCTGTAGTCCCAGCCACTAGGGCGGCTGAGACGCAAGACTTGCTTGAACCCGGGAGGCAGAGGTTGCAGTGAGCCAAGATGGCGCCACTGCATTCCAGCCTGGGCAACAGAGCAAGACCCTGTCTGTCTCAAAACAAAAAACAAAACCACTTATATTGCTAGCTACATTAAGAATTTCTGAATATGTTACTGAGCTTGCTTGTGGTAACCATTTATAATATCAGAAAGTATATGTACACCAAAACATGTTGAACATCCATGTTGTACAACTGAAATATAAATAATTTTGTCAATTATACCTAAATAAAACTGGAAAAAAATTTCTGGAAGTTTATATCTAAAAATGTTAATAGTGCGTACCTCTAGGAAGTGGGCCTGGAAGCCATTCTTACTTTTCAGTCTCTCCCATTCTGTACTGTTTTTTGTTTTACTTTCGTGCCTGCATTATTTTTCTATTTAAAACAAAAATAAATCTAGTTTAGCACTAAAATATTAACTGGAGCTACCTCTGGAGGGCAAGAGTACTAGAAGGTGGGATGGATTGTCTTCTTGCTTGTCTGATTTTATATGTAATACCTTTGTAATTAGAAAGGTTGTTAAGCATTATATCAGAATCCAGTCAGGAGACAGAAACCACACAGAAATTTGAATGGGGAAAGTTTAATATACAGATGCTCGGCCTGACGCAGTGGCTCACGCCTGTAATTCCAGCACTTTGGGAGGCCGAGGTGGGCAGATCACTTGAGGTCAGGAGTTCGAGACCAGCCTGGCCAACATGGTGAAATCCTGTCTCTACTAAAAATACAAAAAAAAATTAAAAAAAAAAAAAAAAAAGCCAGGCATGGTGGTGTGCACCTGTAGTCTCAGCTACTTGGGAGGCTGAGGCAGGAGAATTGCTTGAACCCAGGAGGCAGAGGTTGCAGTGAGCCAAGATCGTGCCACTGCACTCCAGCCTGGGTGACAGAGCAAGACTCCATTTCAAATAAATAAATAAATAAATAAAATAAGATGCTCCTCAACTTACAACAGGGTTATATCCTGAAAAACCCATTGTAAGTAGAAAATATTGTATGTCAGAAATGCATTTAATATACCTAAACTACCAAACATCATCGCTTAACCTGACCTACCTTAAACACGCTGAGAACACTTATATTAGCTTACAGTTGGGCAAAATCATAAACACAAAGCCTATTTTATAATAAAGTATTGAAAATCTCACGCAATTTATTGAATACTGTACAGAAAGTGAAAAATAGAGGTCGTATGAGTACTTGAGGAACAGTTTCTACTGAATGCGGATCACTTTTGCACCATTGCAAAGTAGAAAAATCCTAAGTCAAGTCATCATGAGTTGGGGACTGTCCGTAAGAGTTATTAACAGAGGACTGGAATGGGGATTGGGTAGTAAGGAATAAAGAGAAGCCTGGGCAGATGCAGGGAACAGCCGATATGGGCTTTTCACCCCAGGCTGAGACAGAACAACTCAAAGAAGAAAGCTCAGGGCTGAGATCCGGGCTGAGATCCAGACTTCGTGTGAGAGGACACAGCTGTGAAAGACAGAGGTTTGCTGAGGCTGTGGAGTTGCAGCTGGAGAAGGTGCTGGGCTTGGGGCACTTTGCAGAGAAGGGACCTTGTGCATGTCAAGGGAAGCCATTCATGTGGGGGTACTGTGCGCTGCTGACCATTGGGTGCTGCTGAAGTTAGGCACCGCCCAAGAAGTGTGCAGCCAGAACGAGGTGCTGCAGAGGCAGAGTGTATGTGCTACAGGAGCTGGTATTGCAGATGGCACAGGTGTTGCAGGTGTCTGCCTAGAGGAGCACAATGGAACCAGGAAAAGCAGCCCTTGCCCCTTCAGTGTGTCAGCAGCACCCTCGATTGACAAAGTTTCACTCTGTGCTTACTGTCATGGGAGAGGTATTTACAGGGCCCAGATCTATTATTACAGAACAGACAATGAAGACTGAATGTGGATATAAGAGGCAACAACTAGCATAACTCATTAAATCTAATAGTGCACACATAAACACAAAATAACCTAGTAATTTCTTAATATTGACTGACAGGATATATGCACGTGATGTATTTATAAATTCATGGAAAACTTATATAAAAAACAGGCAACCATAATTGAGTTTAGGGAGGAGAACAGGATGGCTGGTGGACAGAAAAGGGAGAGAGGGAAGTTTGCTTTTTTTCTCCTGCATACCCTTTTATACCAGTTGAGTTTTGTCCCATGTGTGCATACTATTAAAAAACCATGATACTTGACCAGGTGCAGTGGCTCACGCTGGTAATCCCAGCACTTTGGGAGGCCGAGGCGGGTGGATCACCTGAGGTTGGGAGTTCGAGACCAGCCTGACCAACATGGAGAAACCTTGTCTCTACTAAAAATACAAAATTAGCCACGCATGGTGGTGCCTTCCTGTAATCCCAGCTACTCGGGAGGCTGAGGCAGGAGAATTGCTTGAACCCAGGAGGCGGAGGTTGCAGTGAGCCAAGAACGCGCTATTGCACTCTAGCCTGGGCAACAAGAGCAAAATTCTGCCTCAAAAAAAAAAAAAAAAAAAAAAAAATCATAAGATTCCATGCAAATTATTTTTCCAGAGCTGCTTCTAACAGCGTTTAGTTCAAGCAGCGGTCAGTAAAGTATGGCCCTGGACTGTCCAGCCCTCAAGCTAAGAATGGTTTTCACATTTTTTAAAGCAACAGAGACTCAGTGGCCTACAAAGCTAAAATATTTACTGTGTTCTTTTACAGAAAACAAACTATTTCTATGACAAAATACTTTTGAATCATAAGCTCATCATGCCCTTTATTCTAGTTTACATCAGTCTTCATAGGACTCCCAAGTCATCCCTCATTGACCTAAAAACTGTCCTCATGGTTGTAAGCCCTCCCTCCCTTCCTCCATCCATCTCTCCCTCTCTCTTTTTCTCCTTCCCTCTCTCCCTTCCTTCCTTTTCTTTCATAAAGAAAAGAGGTTTAGTTGACTCACGGTTCTGCAGGCTTTACAGGAAGCATGGTGCTGGCATCTGCTCGGCTTTTAGGGAGGCCTCAGGAAACTAAAATCATGGCAGAAGGTGAGCACACATGTCACATGATGAAAGCAGAAACAAGTGAGAGACAGTGCGGGGGCAGGGGGCAGGTTTCATACACTTTTAAATGACCAGATCTCACGAGAACTCAGTAGCAACACAAAGGTAACACCAAGCCATGAGGGATCTGCCCCCATGATCCAAACACCTCCCACCATGCCCCATCTCCAACACTCGGGATAAAATTCAACATAAGTAGAGATAAATATCCAAACCACATCATTCCACCTCTGGCCCCTCCCAAATCTTATGTCCTTTTCACAATGCAAAATACAACCATGCCTTCCCAACAGTGCCGCAAAGTCTTAACTCATTCCAGCATTAACTCAGGAATCCAAAGTCTCATCTGAGACAAGGCAAATCCCTGCCACCTATGAGCCTATAAAATAAAAAACAAATTATTTACTTCCAACATACAATCAGGGTTCAGGGATTGGGGAAATATTCCCATTAGGGAAAAACCTGCCAAAAAAGGGGGCTATAGGCCCCATGCAAGTTCAAAACCCAGCATGGCAGTCATTAAATCATGAAACTCCACAATGATCTCCTTGGTTTCCATGTGGCACGCTGATATGAGGGTTGGGCTCCCAAGGCCTTGGGCAGCTCTGCTCCTATAGCTTTGCAGAGTTCAGCCTGCTGTCACAGGCTGGGTTGAGTGTCTGTGGCTTTTCCAAGTGCAGGGTACAAGCTGCCAGTGGCTCTACCATTCTGGAGAACAGTAGCCCTCTTCTCACAGCTCCACTAGGCAGTGCCCCAGTAGGGACTCTGCGTGGGGCCTTTAACCCCACATTTCCCCTCCACGCTGCCCTAGTAGAGGCTCTCTGTGAGGGCTCTGCTCCTGCAGCAGGGTTCTGCTTGGACACCCAGGCTTTTCCATACATCCTCTGAAATCCAGGCAGAGGCTACCAAGAATTCACCATTTTTGCATTCTGTGTGCCTGCAGGCTTACCACCTAATGGAAGCTGTGAAGGCTATGGCTTATGCCCTCCAAAGTAACAGCCCAAGCTGTACCTAGGCCCCTTTGAGCCCCTGCTGGAGTTGGAGCCATCTGGATGCAGGGAGCAGTGTTCTGAGGCTGCACAGGGCAACAGGGCCCTGGGCTCAGCCCAGGAAAATATTCAGTCTTCCTTGGCTTCAGGGCCTATGACAGGAGGGGCTGCCCCATAGGTCTCTGAAATGCCTTTGAGGCCTTTTCCCCATTGTCTTGGATATTACCACTTGGATCCCTTTCAGTTATGCAAATATCAGCAAGTGGTTGCTCCACAGCCTGCTTGAATTCCTTGGAGAAAATGGTTTTTTTTTTTACCACCTGGCTAGGCTGCAAAATTTCCCAACTTTTAGGCTCTGCTTCCTGTTTAAATGTAAGTTCCAAATTTAAGTCATTCATTTGCCCCCACATCTGAGCACAGGCTGTTAGTAGCAGAAGGCCACATCTTGAATGCTTTGCTGCTTAGAAATTTCTTCTGCCACATACGCTAGGTCATAGTTTTTAAGTTCAAACTTCCACAGATCCCTAGGACACAAGCAGAATGCAGCCAAGTTATTTGCTAAGGCATAACGTGTGACTTTTGCTCCAGTTCCCAATAAATTCGTTTCCTTTTGAGACCTTGTCAACCTGGACTTCACTGTCCCTATCACCATCAGCATTTTGGTCACAACCACTTATCTAGTCTCTAAGAAGTTCCAAACTTGCCGGGAGCAGTGGCTCACGCCTGTAAACCTAGCACTTTGGGAGGTCGAGGTGGGTGAATCACTTGAGGTCAGGAGTTCGAGACCAGCCTGGCCAACATGGTGAAACCCCATCCTTACTAAAAATACAAAAATATTAGCCAGGCATGGTGGTGCATGCCTGTAACCCCAGCTGCTTGGGAAGCTGAGGCAGAAAATCACTTGAACCCGGGAGGCAGAGGTTGCAGTGAGCCAAGATCACGCCACTGCACTCCAGCCTGGGCGACAGAGCAAGACTCCGTCTCAAAAAAAAAAAAAAAAAAAAGTTTGAAACTTACCCTCATTTTCCTGTCTTCTTCTGAGCCCTGTAAACTCTTCCAACCACTACTCATTACCCAGTTCCAAAGCTGTTTCCACATTTTCAGGTATCTTTATAGCAATGCCCAACTTCTCGGTACCAATTTTCTGTATTGGGGCATTCTTGCACTGCTATAAAGAAATACCTCAAACTGGGTAATTTACAAAGAGGTTTAATTGGCTCATGGTTCTGCAGGCTTTACAGGAAGCATGGTGCTGGCATCTGCTTGGCTTCTAGGGAGACCTCAGGAAGCTTACAGTCATGGTGGAAGGTGAAGGGGTAGCAGACACATCACATGGTAAAAGCAGGGGCAAGTGAGAGAGCTAAACTCCCGCTTTCTGATCACATATCCCAACCTGCTCCAACTCCCTAAATCCTTCCACTGTGTCTACATGGTAGAATCTCCTACATCCACAACTTCTTATGTCAACTTTCCTTCTATTTCTTGATCTAACTCCTCATTCTCAAGCTTTTTTTTTAACCATGACCCACAATAATAAATTTTACATCAAAACACCATACGCACATACATACACACACATATTATATGTGTATACACAACTGAAGTCCCACAAAAACAAACCTTACTAAAATAAAACTATATCAGATATGATTTTATTAATAGCCAAATAAACAAAAATTCAGAAATACAAAGTTCCGTGAAAGAGTTGTTTACATGCACTGTCAACTGTTCTCTCATTCTTATGTTCTCTCCCTCCAGGATTTTACCTCCTCCATTCCACCAACACAGCTCTTATGAGGGTCACCAATGAGCTCCACATTGCTAAATTGGTGAATACTTCTCAGTCCTCACTTTAGTTGACCCATTAGCAGCATGTGACCTATTGGCTTTCACATGGCCCATCACCCCTCTTCCTCAAAACACTGCCTTCATTTGGCTTCCAGGGCATCCCTCTTGATTTTCCTAACTCAATGAGAGCTCCTCCTTAGTCTCCTGCACTGTTTTTCCTCATATCCTATCTCTAACCACTGAGAGAACCCCAAAGTTCTCCTCTGACATCTTCTCTATTTGAATGCACTTCCTCAGCTATCTCCTCTAGTTCAACAGCTTTAAATTTACTAACTTCTACATTTCCATCTCTAGCCCAGACCTCTCCTCTGAACTATTTTTTTATTTTATAATATAGACGGGGTCTCACTTTGTTGCCCAGTCTGGTCTTGAACTCCTGGGCTCACATGATTCTCCTGCCTTGGCCTCCCAAAGTGCTGAGATTACAGGCATGAGGCATTGCACCTGGCCTGGACTCTTTATTCACATCCAACTTCTACTAATGGGCATCTCAATTTTCACATGTTCAAAACCCAATTTCTTTCCTGCCACAAAAGTACTCCTTATGCAGACCTCCATCTCATTAAATTCTAACTTTATTTTTCCAGTTGCATAAGCCAAAAATCTCGGAGTTACACTTGACACTCCTCTTTCATACACCACATGTAATCAATCTACTGAAAAATCCTGGTGGCTCCACTTGGAAAATATACTCAGATCCAACCACCACTACCCACACTGGCTCTAACTAGTCAGCCTGTTTCCTCCCTTCAAACCTATGGTGTATTTTCAACACAGCAATCAGAAGTCTCTTTCTGTAAGTCAGATCATGCTATACCTTGGGTTCAAAACCTTTCCATGGACTCCCAGCTTAAAAAAGTAAATGCTGAAGACCTTACTATCGCTGACATATGGCCTGGCCCTTGACTACCTCTCTTAGCTCCATCTCCTTAATCTCTCCTCCTTACTTCCACTCCAGCCACGATTAACTCCTTGTTGTTCCCCAAACATGTTAAATACACTTGTGTCTTAGGGCCTTTCTATTTGTTATCTCCCTTGCCTGGGATACTCTCCCTCTAGTTGTACCTAGAACAGTTGAATCATCGCATAATTGCTAAAAGGACAAGTGACCATGTGACAACGTTCTTTCATCTTTTATGCTTGTAACACCAGAATTTACTTGAAAAAGTTTGTAAGTGGACAAGTATGAAAGACAGATATGTACACAAAGTAACAGGAAGGTAAAGATGATGTGAAAAATGAAAACCAATCCACTGAAAGTCATTCTAATTGGTATTTATAAATGTAAAAACAAAAATGTTTTGCTGTTATGTAACAAAGAATATAGCCATCATCTATCACTTCAACAAAACTATGAGCCCTAAAGTTTTCAGAAGTATTGCAGTTTGGACAGGTGTGGTGGCTCATGCCTACCGTCCCCAGCACTTTGGAAGGCAGGAAGATCACTTGAGGCCAGGTGTTCAAGGCCAGCCTGGGCAACACAGTGAGACCCTATTTCTACAAAAAATAAAAATAAATTAAAAAACAAAAAGTATTGCATTTTGACAAAGTGAGTTCATGAAGAATACAAATAATAAGGTAGAACATAGTAGAGATGCATTTGAAATCCAAAATCCGTATTTAAAGGTAGGTATGTTCCAGATTCATGCATAATGACAGCTGCTTTCAAAGGATGTAATGCCTTTTAGGTATACATAAACATTCAAAACTGGGAAAATATGGGAAAAAATGTGGGTCTCCTATATTTGGATTCTCATTAAAATTGCTAACAAAGTTAATTTTCACCATCCCTTTATTCTTCTGTAAATTGTTTATAAAATGACTTGAAAAAGAATGCAGTCAATTCTCATTACTTGAGGTAGTTATGTTCTATGAAGTTGCCACAAACACGCAAATTAGTGAATACTGAGCCATTGCTCCTAACAGAAATACAGGGTTAGGTTCTTGTAAGCCTTTGGTCACATTTTCACCAACTTATAAATACGTAAGCTTGTTTTATATCTGTTTCTGTTTAAAGACACATTATTTAATAAATATAGACCTGGCATGGTGGCTCATATCTGTAATCCCAGCACTCTGGGATGCCAAGGTGGGTGGATCACTTGAGGTCAGGAGTTCAAGACTGGCCTACCCAACATGGTAAAACCCCACCTCTACTAAAAATACAAAAATTACGCTGGGTGCAGTGGCGGGTGCCTATAATCCCAGCTACTGGGAAGACTGAGGCAGGAGAATCGTTTGAACCCGGGAGGAGGAGGTTGCAGTGAGCCGAGATTATGCCATTGCACTCCAGCCTGGGTGACAGAGTGAGACTCCATCTCAAAAAATATAATAATAAATAGTGATGACTCATCATCATCTAACTCCCACTCAACAGCACTATAACTCATGACTAAACAAAGGTTATCTAACACATGTATTCTCTAAGGCACCTCACAGCCCGCATGCACCTTGGAATACCACTATATAGCACTTCAGCACAATGCTTGGGAATCACTTTAAACAGTAAAATCACAAACAGAAGGCACAAAAATGTGAAAAATGTAGAACTATATAAACTGCTTTCAAAAAGGACACTTGTTTATAGTAAGAAAGCTACACAAAAAACTGAGCACTGTTCAACCCCAGCTGGGAATATCTGGGTAAGGTTCTCAAATTTTTCACCTCTGTGTATGTCCATGAAAAACCATGAAACTGCCATGAGTATTGATGTTAGGTTACAAATAAATTTTAGCAAGTAGGTGCCTTTACAAATACAGATTCTACAAATAAAGAGAATTGACTGTAAATAAAATTTTATAAGCAAAAACTCTGAAAATAAAAACAAATAGTTAAAATGGTAATGGGAAGACCATATAAACAACAGAAAATTAAAAGTTCTTAAACACATGAAAAGGTGCTGAACTTCACAATAAGATAAAAATGTACAAATATGAGATAATCATTTTTAACTATTCAATTGACAAAGATTCAAAGGTTTGATAAATTATTGGCTATTTTGCAGGAAACAAACTCTCCATGTTGGTATAAATATAGATTAATATAACCTCTACTGAAAACAATTTAGCAAACTTTTGTTTAAAATTTAAATGTAGGTCGGGCACGGTGGCTCATGCCTGTAATCCCAGCACTTTGGGAGGCCAAGGCGAGCAGATCACAAGGTCAGGAGTTCAAGATCAGCCTGGCCAACATGGTGAAACCCCGTCTCTACTAAAAAAATACAAAAATTAGCCGGGCATGGTGGCGTGTGCCTGTAATCCTAGCTACTCAGGAGGCTGAGGCAGGAGCACTGCTTGAACCTGGGAGGCGGAGGTTGCGGTGAGCTGAGATCACGCCATTGCACTCCAGCCTGGGCAACAGAGCAAGACTCCGTATCAAAAAAAAAAAAAAAACAATTTAAATG
The DNA here is from genome assembly GCF_000001405.40 of Homo sapiens. Lineage (NCBI taxonomy): Eukaryota > Metazoa > Chordata > Mammalia > Primates > Hominidae > Homo > Homo sapiens. Next base: position 816,029 of record NW_025791777.1, read on the forward strand.
CAATAGCCTCTTCAACACAGTAGTTCTAATTCTAGATACTTAATCCTAAAGATGCTGACTGTACTATTAAATAACAAATGATTAGAAACAAATTAAACTCTCATCCACAAGAGCTCAATTCATTAAGCGTGGTACACATCTGTAAGAATATCCTGTAAGTGCTTAAAAGAATGAGAGCTTTTTTTTAAATTTTTAATTTTTGCATTTTTCTTATTTTATTTTATTATTATACTTTAAGTTTTAGGGTACATGTGCACAATGTGCAGGTTAGTTACATATGTATACATGTGCCATGCTGGTGTGCTGCACCAATTAACTCCTCATTTAGCATTAGGTATATCTCCTAATGCTATCCCTCCCCACTCCCCCCACCCCACAACAGTCCCAAGAGTGTGATGTTCCCCTTCCTGTGTCCATGTGTTCTCATTGTTCAATTCCCACCTATGAGTGAGAACATGCGGTGTTTGGTTTTTTGTCCTTGCGATAGTTTACTGAGAATGATGATTTCCAATTTCATCCATGTCCCTACAAAGGACATGAACTCATCATTTCTTATGGTTGCATAGTATTCCATGGTGTATATGTGCCATATTTTCTTAATCCAGTCTATCATTGTTGGACGTTTGGGTTGGTTCCAAGTCTTTGCTATTGTGAATAGTGCCGCAATAAACATACGTGTGCATGTGTCTTCATAGCAGCATGATTTATAGTCCTTTGGGTATATACCCAGTAATGGGATGGCTGGGTCAAATGGTATTTCTAGTTCTAGATCCCTGAGGAATCGCCACACTGACTTCCACAGTGGTTGAAGCAGTTTACAGAACTCTCCACCCCACATCAACAGAATATACATTTTTTTCAGCACCACACCACACCTATTCCAAAATTGACCACATAGTTGGAAGTAAAGCTCTCCTCAGCAAACGTAAAAGAACAGAAATTATAACAAACTGTCTCTCAGACCACAGTGCAATCAAACTAGAACTCAGGAATAAGAAACTCACTCAAAACCACTCAACTACATGGAAACTGAACAACCTGCTCCTGAATGACTACTGGGTACATAACGAAATGAAGGCAGAAATAAAGATGTTCTTTGAAACCAACGAGAACAAAGACACAACATACCAGAATTTCTGGGACACATTCAAAGCAGTGTGTAGAGGGAAATTTATAGCACTAAATGCCCACAAGAGAAAGCAGGAAAGATCCAAAATTGACACCCTAACATCACAATTAAAAGAACTAGAAAAGCAAGAGCAAACACATTCAAAAGCTAGCAGAAGGCAAGAAATAACTAAAATCAGAGCAGAGCTGAAGGAAATAGAGACACAAAAAACCCTTCAAAAAATTAATCCAGGAGCTGGTTTTTGGAAAGGATCAACAAAATTGATAGACCGCTAGCAAGACTAATAAAGAAGAAAAGAGAGAAGAATCAAATAGACGCAATAAAAAATGATAAAGGGGATATCACCACCGATCCCACAGAAATACAAACTACCATCAGAGAATACTATAAACACTTCTACGCAAATAAACTAGAAAATCTAGAAGAAATGGATAAATTCCTCGACACATACACCCTCCCAAGACTAAACCAGGAAGAAGTTGAATCTCTAAATGGACCAATAACAGGCTCTGAAATTGTGGCAATAATCAATAGCTTACCAACCAAAAAGAGTCCACGACCAGATGGATTCACAGCCGAATTCTACCAGAGGTACAAGGAGGAACTGGTACCATTCCTTCTGAAATTATTCCAATCAATAGAAAAAGAGGGAATCCTCCCTAACTCATTTTATGAGGCCAGCATCATCCTGATACCAAAGCCAGGCAGAGACACAACCAAAAAAGAGAATTTTAGACTAATATCCTTGATGAACATTGATGCAAAAATCATCAATAAAATACTGGCAAACCGAATCCAGCAGCACATCAAAAAGCTTATCCAGCATGATCAAGTGGGCTTCATCCCTGGGATGCAAGGCTGGTTCAACATACGCAAATCAATAAATGTAATCCAGCATATAAACAGAACCAAAGACAAAAACCACATGATTATCTCAATAGATGCAGAAAAGGCCTTTGACAAAATTCAACAATCCCTCATGCTAAAAACTCTCAATAAATGAGGTACTGATGGGACGTATCTCAAAATAATAAGAGCTATCTATGACAAACCCACAGCCAATATCATACTGAATGGGCAAAAACTGGAAGCATTCCCTTTGAAAACACGCACAAGACAGGGATGCCCTCTCTCACCACTCCTATTCAACATAGTGTTGGAAGTTCTGGCCAGGGCAATTAGGCAGGAGAAAGAAATAACGGGTATTCAATTAGGAAAAGAGGAAGCCAAATTGTCCCTGTTTGCAGATTACATGATTGTATATCTAGAAAACCCCATTGTCTCAGCCCAAAATCTCCTTAAGCTGATAAGCAACTTCAGCAAAGTCTCAGGATACAAAATCAATGTACAAAAATCACAAGCATTCTTATACACCACCCACAGACAAACAGAGAGCCAAATCATGAGTGAACTCCCATTCACAATTGCTTCAAAGAGAATAAAATACCTAGGAATCCAACTTACAAGGGATGTGAAGGACCTCTTCAAGGAGAACTACAAACCACTGCTCAATGAAATAAAAGAGGATACAAACAAATGGAAGAACATTCCATGCTCATGGGTAGGAAGAATCAATATCGTGAAAATGGCCATACTGCCCAAGGTAATTTACAGATTCAATGCCATCCCCATCAAGCTACCAATGACTTTCTTCACAGAATTGGAAAAAACTACTTTAAAGTTCATATGGAACCAAAAAAGAGCCCGCATCGCCAAGTCAATCCTAAGCCAAAAGAACAAAGCTGGAGGCATCACGCTACCTGACTTCAAACTATACTACAAGGCTACAGTAACCAAAACAGCATGGTACTGGTACCAAAACAGAGATATAGACCAATGGAACAGAACAGAGCCCTCAGAAATAACGCCGCATATCTACAACTATCTGATCTTTGACAAACCTGAGAAAAACAAGCAATGGGGAAAGGATTCCCTATTTAATAAATGGTGCTGGGAAACTGGCTAGCCATATGTAGAAAGCTGAAACTGGATCCCTTCCTTACACCTTATACAAAAATTAATTCAAGATGGATTAAAGACTTAAATGTTAGACCTAAAACCATAAAAACCCTAGAAGAAAACCTAGGCATTACCATTCAGGACATAGGCATGGGCAAGGACTTCATGTCTAAAACACCAAAAGCAACGGCAACAAAAGCCAAAACTGGGATCTAATTAAACTAAAGAGCTTCTGCACAGCAAAAGAAACTACCATCAGAGTGAACAGGCAACCTACAAAATGGGAGAAAATTTTTGCAATCTACTCATCTGACAAAGGGCTAATATCCAGAATCTACAATGAACTCAAACAAATTTACAAGAAAAAAACAGACAACCCCATCAAAAAGTGGGCGAAGGACATGAACAGACACTTCTCAAAAGAAGACATTTATGCAGCTAAAAAACACATGAAAAAATGCTCACCATCACTGGCCATCAGAGAAATGCAAATCAAAACCACAATAAGATACCATCTCACACCAGTTAGAATGGCAATCATTAAAAAGTCAGGAAACAACGGGTGCTGGAGAGGATGTGGAGAAATAGGAAGAATGAGAGTTTTAAATACTGATATGGTGTGTTCTCCAAGATATATTGACAGAAAAGCACTTATCTATTGAAGAACATTATATGAATTACCTCTAAAGATAAAAAATTTTAAAAGTTCAAAAAGGGTAATGATGATATATCATGACAGAACTTAATTACTTTTTTTCTTTTTGAGACAGTCACTGAGTCACCCAGGCTGGAGTGTAGTGGCACGATCTTGGCTCACTGCAACCTCCGCCTCCTGGGTTCAAGTGATTCTCATGCTTCAGCCTCTCCAGTAGCTGGGATCACAGGCGCCCACCACCATGCCGAGCTAATTTTTTTTTTGTATTTTTAGTAGAGATGGGGTTTCACCATGTTGGGCCAGGCTGGTCTCGAACTACCGACCTCAGGTGATCCACCCACCTCAGCCTCTCAAAGTGCTAGGATTACAGGTATGAGCCACCATGCCTGGCCTTAATTACATGTTTTTTAAAAATTCACAATAAATGTATACACAAACATTTTAAAAAACACAAAAGGGTACACTGTGAAAAGTGTACAGAAGGGCTGGGCATGGTGATTCATGCCTGTAATCCTAGCACTTTGGGAGCCCGAGGTGGGAGAATGGCTTGAACCCAGGAACTCGAGACCAGCTTGGGCAACATAGATCATGTCACTACCAAAAAAAAAAAAAAGTGTACAGAAGCAGAGTTGCTCTTGTTTTTTGTTTGTTGCTTTGGTTTGGTTTTTTTTTTTGAGACAGGGTCTCAGTCTGTTGCCCAGGCTGAAGTGCAATGGTGTGAACACGGCTCATTACACAGCCTCAACCTCCTGTACTCAAGTGATCCTTTTGCCTCAGCCTCTCCAGTAGCTGGGACTACAGGCATGCACCACCATGCCTTGCTAATTCTTTCATGTTTTGTAGAGTCAGGGGTTTTGCGTTGTTGCTTATGCTGGTCTTGAACTCCTGGGCTCAAGTGATCCGCCTGTCTCGTCCTCCCAAAATGCTGGGATTACAGGTGTAAGCCACCGTGCCTGGCCCAGAGTTGCTCTTAGTAACGTGTTTTTTTTTTTTTTTTTTTTGAGACGGAGTCTCGCTTTTTAGCCCAGGCTTGAGTACAGCGGCACAATCTCGGCTCACCACAACCTCCACCTCCCGGGTTCAAGCAATTCTCCTGCCTCAGCCTCCCAAGTAGCTGGGACTACAGGGCGTGCCACCATGCCGGGCTAATTTTTGTATTTTTAGTAGAGACAGGGTTTTACTATGTTGGCCAGGCTGGTCTGGAACTCCTGATCTCAGGTGATCCACCCGCCTCGGCCTCCCAAAGTGCTGGGATTACAGGTGTGAGCTGCCGCGCCCAGCTGCTCTTAGTAACTTCTGGAATTTGATGTCTAAATTGAATCCATTATTTCAAACATCACAAGACTTAAGTTCATAAAAACTTTTTTAAAAAGTTAACTCTGGGTCAGGCGTAGTGGCTCAAGCTTGTAATCCCAGCACTTTGGGAGGCCGAGGCAGGTGGATTACCTGGGGTCAGGAGTTCCAGACCAGCCTGGCCAACGTGGCGAAACCACGTCTCTACTACTAAAAATACAAAAATTAGCCAGGCATAGTGGCACATGCCTGTAGTCCCAGCTGCTCGGGAGGCTGAGGCAGGAGAATTGCTTGAACCTGGGAGGCAGAGGTTGCAGTGAGCTGAAATTGCGCCACTGCACTCCAGCTTGGGTGAGAGTTAGACTGTATCAAAAACAAAAAGAAATTAACTGTGTAGTTTATTTCTGTTAATGGCAACCCTGCAGAAAAGTTAAACTTAGAATATGTCTCAAAGTAATCTCTGTCTGATCCCTTAATGAAGGATCTCTTCAAACACAGCAACTTTTGTCTGTCTTCTGAACGTAGGTACAGCTGTGGCTGTAGAACAGACCATGTAATTTTCATCTAGATTCCTTACAACCACAAGGACAATTATTACAATGAAAGCCAGAGAACTAGCTCAGTTTTGATTTTATTACTAGGATAAATCCAGCCAGGTAGTGTGGTGGCTTTGATGTTTTCTGTCTATATCTAAGGGGGAAGCTGCTTCATTATTCGATATTAAGATAAATAGGGCCTAAAAATAGTCCTAGGTCAAACACCATTATGATTAACTCAACTTTCAAAACCATTTACCTAATGTAGGATTTGTTAATAAGTCTTCTTCAAAATTAGCAAGAAATACAACTAATGCCTAACCCGTCATGATGAATTAAAGACTGATCCAAAAATAACTGACAGTTCTCTTCCAGTTGCCCTCTTCTTTGACAATCCCACCAGTCTATGCTCTAAGCTCACGCTTGACTTCCAAAAACTGCCAGATATTGTAGACACCATGAAGAATAAGATGTACTACCTTTTCTCTAATGAAAGAGGAAATACAGATATAAACAATATATAAACATAATATAATGTGAAAAGCTATGTATAGAAATAAATAGAGAGGCCGTGTGCGGTGGCTCACGGCTGTAATCCCAGCACTTTGGGAGGCCAGGGTGGTCGAATCACTTGAGGGCAGGAGTTTGAGACCAGCCTGGCCAACATGGTGAAACTCCATCTCTACTAAAAATACAAAACTTAGTGGGGCATGGTGCCACATGCCTGTAATCCCAACTACTCACGTGGGTGAGGCACGAGAACCGCTTGAACCCGGATAGCAGAGGTTGCAGTGAGCTGAGATTGCACCACTGCACTCCAGCGTGGGCAGCAGAGCGAGACTCTGTCTCAAAAACAAACAAAAATAAGAATATGTAAAGACATGAAAAATGTGACATTAAGTGGGAATACACATGCACATACACAAAATGCTATGGTGGCATCCATATCAAAATATGGGCCAAAGGGCAAAATAATATGCAAAAAAGAAATACAATCACAGATACAGCTAATTTAAAAAAAAATTAAATATTTTTATTATATACTTTTAAACATATAGAAGATAGAAAAAAACAGTACAATGAACAGCCATGTCCACCAGTTAGATTCTGTAACATTTTGCCACATACGCCTCACATACATTTTGTTAAACCATTTGAAACATTTTAAGACACTCTAACACTTCATTCCTAAATGCTTAAGTATGCAAATTAAGACAGTCTTTTATAAACTACAACACCCTTCTCACAGCTCATAAAATTACCAATAATTATCCAATATCATTCAAAATCTAATCCACATTCAAATTTTCTCAACTGCCTCACCACCGTGCTGGCCTCCCACCCCCACCTCAGTCTTTTACAGATGGTTTTTCAAAATAGAGTCCAGTAAAATATTTCACATTGCATTTGGTTATTACATAACTTTTAATCAAGAAGAGTTACCCATTCCACTTCCTTTTTTCTTTCCCAACACTTGATATTTTGAAGAAATGAGGCCAGTTATCTTCTATAACGCTTCACATTCCAGATCTGTCTGATCGTTTCTTTAGTGGTGTCATTTAGTGCTGCTCTATGCCAGCATTTCCTGCAAATGAGAAATTAGAACCAGAGGCTTGACGAATTCCAGTTAAACCATGTCCTCTGTGGACACCAGTTAAACTTGACTAGAGCACTTCATATGTCAGAGTGTACAGTGCAGTATGCCTAGGTTATCCCATATCACAATAAAAAAAAGTCTGCTGGTCTGCCTACTAGTGATATAAAATGGCATCATATCCTAAAGCTCTTTATTGTGAAAGTATGTTTCTTCCACACAACCAACCAGTTAAGTATGAGAATTCTAGTAGGGATGTAGATTAACCTTTTATCTAATAGTTTTGGCATCAAAATTCTTTAATATTGATTGTTTTACATTAACCTTTCAACTTTCTAACATCTGAACTTTTTAAATGTTCAAAAACATTTGTTTTCCACAAACCATAAAGTTTTACAAAAGTAAGATTCACTTTCATAATGCTGGCAGACTTACTCCTTAATTTAAGGAATGTGAGCACCTTCCTTCTTTTTGATTTTGTCTAAAACCCTGTAAGGAAAATAAAGGAAGTTAAAAAAAATAGCTATATAGATATAGATAGCTATATATAGATAGCTTTATATGGATGTTAAAAAGCATTTTGTTTCACAAGACATTTTACTTATTTTATTCAACAAAATATGATCAGAAATTAAGTTGATAGTCTTTTAATGTACTTTAAAAGTTATCCCAAAGAAAACAATTATTAGGCTGCAGTTAAGGTTTTCTTGCAGTGGCTCATGCCTACAATCCCACAACTTTGGGAGGCGGAGGTAGGGGGATCACTTGAGACCTGGAGCTTGACACCACCCTGGGCAACATAATGAGACCCTGTCTCTACAAAAAATTTAAAAATTAGGCCGGCGTGGTGGCTCATGCTAGGCACAGTGGCTCACGCCTGTAATCCCAGCACTTTGGGAGGCCGAGACAGTTGGATCACCTGAGCTCAGGAGTTCGAGAACAGCCTGGCCAACATGGCAAAACCCCGTTTCTACTGAAAGTACAAAAAATTAGCCAGGCATGGTGGTGGGGACCTCTAATCCCAGCTACTTGGGAGGTTGAGGCAGGAGAATCACTTGAACCCAGGAGGCGGAGGCTGCAGTGAGCTGAGATTTACACCACTGCACTCCAGCCTGGGTGACAGAGCAAGACTCTGTCTCAAAAAAAAATAAATAAATAAAAATAAAAATTAGCCAGGTGCAGTGGCATTATCACTGTAGTCCCAGCTACTCGGGAAACTGAGGTGAGAGGACTGCTTGAGCCCTGGAGGTCAAGGCTGCAGTGAGCTGTGAATGTGCCCTTGCACTCCAGCCTGAGCAATAGAGTGAGACCTGGTCTCTAAAAAATAAAATTTAAATGTAAAAAATTTAAAAACATTGCCGGTCACAGTGGCTCATGCCTGTAATGCCTTGCCTTGCACTTTTGGAGGCCAAGGCGGGCGGATCACCTGAGGTCGGATTTGGAGAACAGCCTGACCAACATGGAGAAATCCCGACTCTACTAAAAATACAAGACTAGGCCGGGCACAGTGGCTCACGCCTATAATCCCAGCACTTGGGGAGGCTGAGGCGGGTGGATCAAAAGGTCAGGAGATCGAGACCATCCTGGCTAACACAGTGAAACCCCATCTCTACTAAAAACACAAAAAAATTAGCCGGGTGTGGTGGCGGGCACCTGTAGTCCCAGCTACTCGGGAGGCTGAGGCAAGAGAATGGTGTGAACCTGGGAGGCAGAGCTTGCAGTGAGCCAAGATCGCGCCGCTGCACTCCAGCTTGGGGGACAGAGCAAGACACCCTCTCAAAAAAAAAAAACAAAAAACAAAACAAAACACAAAACTGGCTGGGCGTGGTGGCATATGGCTGTAATCACAGCTACTCGGGAAGCTGAGGCAGGAGAATCACTTGAACCCAGGAGGCGGAGGTTGCAGTGAGCCGAGATTGCACCATTGCACCCCAGCCTGGGTGACAGGGCAAAACTCCATCTTAAAAAATAAATAAACTAATTAATTTAAAAAAATATTTTTCTTCCTTTTTTTTTTGAGACGGAGTTTCGCTCTTGTTGCCCAGGCTGGAGTGCAATGGTGCAATCTTGGCTCACCGCAACCTCCGCCTTCTCGGTTCAAGCAATTCTCCTGCCTCAGCCTCCCAAGTAGCTGGGATTACAGGCATGCGCCACCATGCCCGGCTAGTTTTGTATTTTTAGTAGAGACAGGGTTTCTCCATGTTGGTCAGGCTGATCTGGAACTCCCGACTTCAGGTGATTCGCCTGCCTTGGCCTCCCAAACTGTTGGGATTACCGGCGTGAGCCACTGCGCCCAGCTGATTTTTCTTCTTTCAGTATGTCCAATGATGTTCCTGAGCCCGCTTATACCTTATTTTTTTTTTTTTGAGATGGAGTTTTGCTCTTGTTGCCCAGGCTGGAGTGCAATGAGGTGATCTCGGCTCACCGCAACCTCCACCTCCCAGGTTCAAGCAATTCTCCTGCCTCAGCCTCCTGAGTAGCTGGGATTACAGGCATGCACCACCACGCCCGCCTAATTTTGTATTTTTTTTAGTAGAGACGGGGTTTCTCCATGTTGAGGCTAGTCTCTAACTCCCGACCTCAGGTGATCCGCCTGCCTCGGCCTCCCAAAGTGCTGGGATTACAGGTGTGAGCCACCGTGCCCGGCCTATACCTTATTTTCATCAAATAAAATATATGACCTTAAACTACCTGTGTCATACTTATTAAAATGAGACCATTAAACACCAGTATTCACTAAATAAAAAAAAAATTTAAAGTCAAAAATTAATACTAAAACATTTGTTTTTCTTGTCAGATCTAGCCCAAATGTCCTCTGTCTCTCTTCTGGCTTCAATGCTTTCTATCTTTCCCTACATGTATACTAGCTTGCAGTGGCTTCCCACTTCATTACTAATCTACACCTAACAGACCGTAAGATGTATTGAAAGATTTGTTACTAATGAGTATCAAAGTTATAACCTATTTTATGTTATTTCAACAACATTATTCTTAGTCATTTGCATTCTGCTTAGATTTCTAAGACAAAAAGATAGAGGTTAAAAGCTAGACTCAGAGCCTATCTCAACCACGTGGCTTCAGTAGAACAAAGGTTAAGAATTGTTAGCTTAAGGCAATGACGTATTAAAAACACTTAAGGCCAGGTGCAGTGGCTCACGCCTGTAATCCCAGCACTTTGGGAGGCCTAGGCAGGCAGATCACGAGGTCAGGAGATCGAGACCATCCTGGCTAACACGGTGAAACCCCATCTCTACTAAAAATACAAAAAATTAGCCGTGCATGGTGGCACACGCCTGTAGTCCCAGCTACTTGTCGGGCTGAGGCAGGAGAATGGTGTGAACCCGGGAGGCAGAGCTTGCAGTAAGCCAAGATCATGCCACTGCACTCCAGCTTAGGAGACAGAGCAAGACTGTCTCAAAAACAAAAACAAAACAAAAAAAACCCAAAAAACCAAAAAAACAAAAAGAACACAAACGAATGTTCATAGCAACATTATTCATTATAGCCCAAAAATAAAAACAACCTAAATGTCCATGAACTGATGAATGGATAAAATGTGATATAACCAAACAACAGAATATTCAGCAATAAGAAGGAATGCAGTACTGGTGCATTCTACAGCATGGATGAATCTTGAAAATAGCATGCTAAGTGAAAGAAGCCAGACACAAAAGACCACATATCGTATAATTCCGTTTATATATAATATCTAAAATAGACAAATTCATAGAGACAGAAAGTGTACTGACTGCCTAGGGCTGGGGAAAATGAAGGTAACAGGGTTTCTTTTTGGGGTGATGAAAATGTTCTTAAATTGTAGTGATGGTTGCATAACTGAAAACCAAAACCACTGACTTGTATACTTTCTTTTTTATTTTATTTTTTGAGACAGAGTCTCGCTCTGTCGCCCAGGCTGGAGTGCACTGGCACAATCTCGGCTCACTGCAAGCTCCACCTCCTGGGTTCACGCCACTCTCCTGCCTCAGCCTCCCGAGCAGCTGGGACAAAAGGTGCCCGCCAACATGCCCGGCTAATTTGTTTTTGTACTTTTAGTAGAGACGGGGTTTCACCATGTTAGCCAGGATGGTCTCGATCTCCTGACCTCGTGATCCACCTGCCCTGGCCTCCCAAAGTGCTGGGATTACAGGCGTGAGCCATTGTGCCCAGCCAACTTGTATACTTTCAAAGGTAAACTGCACACCATGTGAATTATTTCTCAAGAAAGTTATTTAGAACATAAATTATACCAATACTTTATATATACATTATGTATTTTTTTCAAATATTTCATAATTTAAAAAACACAAAAGCCTACAGTGTTACAGTCAGATAACTGATCTCAAAACAAATTACAAGCTGTTGATTTATTACTTTTTGGTCATTAAAATGAGGAATTCATGATACATACAATATACCAAGGTTATACTACAACAACTGAAGCGTGACTTTTTTTTCCCTCCGCAAATTCTCACTCTGTTGGCCAGGCTAGAGTGCAGCGGTGTGATCTTGGCTCACTGCAACCTCTGCCTCCCAGGTTCAAGTGATTCTCCTGCCTCAACCTCTCAAGTAGCTGGGATTACAACTGCCCGCCACTGGGCTAAGTTTTGTGTATTTAGTAGAAATGGAGTAGTCACCATGTTGGCCAGGCTGGTCCTGAACTCCTAACCTCAAGTGATCCACCTGCCTCTACCTCCCAAAGTACTGGGATTATAGGTGTGAGCCACCGTGCCAGGCCTTTTTCTTTTTTTGAGACGGAATCTCACTCTGTCACCAAGGGTGGAGTGCAGTGGCACAATCTCAACTCACTGCAACCTCTGCCTCCCAGATTAAAGCAATTTTCCTGCCACAGCCTCCCAAGTAGCTCGGATTACAGGCATGTGCCACCATGCCTGGCTAAATTTTTTTTGGTATTTTTAGTAGAGACAAGGTTTCATCATGTTGGCCAGGCTGGTCTCAAACTCCTGACCTCAAGTGATCTGCCTGCCTCGGCCTCACAAACTGTTGGGATTACAGTTGTAAGCCACCATGTCTGGCCTTAACTTTTAAATAAGAATATTAATGGGGGCACACACAGATGATACATTTAAAAACATACACCTTTAAGTCAGTTGTTTCTTCTATATTAATTTACTAAAAATACAAGTGCCTACAATATCACATCATAATTTTAGCAGGGCACAAGAGCTTACTTTTAAAAATAATTTTAGGCCGGGCGCGGTGGCTCACGCTTGTAATCCCAGCACTTTGGGAGGCCGAGGCGGGTGGATCACGAGGTCAGGAGATCGAGACCACGGTGAAACCCCGTCTCTACTAAAAATAAAAAAAAATTAGCCGGGCGTGGTGGCGGGCGCCTGTAGTCCCAGCTACTCGGAGAGGCTGAGGCAGGAGAATGGCGTGAACCCGGGAGGCGGAGCTTGCAGTGAGCCGAGACTGCGCCACTGTACTCCAGCCTGGGTGACAGAGCGAGACTCCGTCTCAAAAAAAAAAAAAAAATAAAATAAAATAAAATAATTTTAAATGTTCTGACTAAAATACAATAGAACATGTCCGTAGGAGACTAACGTATAAAGTGACAAGTTTGAAGCCATACTCCCCAAGGTTCAATGTGGTACACATTACCCCAGATCTTTGTGCATTAAAAAAATTTCATTTCTCTTGGAAGGCCGAGGCGGGTGGATCACGGGGTCAGGAGATTGAGACCATCCTGGCTAACACAGTGAAACCCTGTCTTTACAAAAAAATACAAAAAATTAGACAGGCGTGGTGGCAGGCACCTGTAGTCCCAGCTACCTCTGAGGCTGAGGCAGGAGAATGGCGTGAATCCAGGAGGCAGAGCTTGCTGTGAGCCAAGATCACGCCATTGCACTCCAGCCTGGGCAACAGAGCAAGACTCCGTCTCAAAAAAAAAAAAAAAAAAAAAGAATTTCATTTTTCATTTATGAAAAATTATCCCATCTTTTCCATTCCCTACAATCAATTTCAAATCAGAGATTAAAACATTATTTAGAAAAAGTATAATTTCAATTCAAAAGTGTATAATCAAAATAATCTAACAATAGCATGAAAGCTTTTTAAAATTAACTAAAATTATACTTAGGGACAATGCAAGAGTAATTTAAGCCTCAGACAGTTGTATTTTTTTATTTTTATTTTTTAGTAATATAAAGAGAGAAGCAAGTAGTATTTTATAAATTTACAAAACAAAGTCACATAACTACAAAAAAATTGTCAGGAAAAGATGCTGAGTGATTACTTACCATATAATAGCCAGTATGATAGCCACTCATGTACCATGAAATTAACATACTTCCCAAAGCATCAGCATCATCAAGAGAATCTGGACATATGGGAGGTGGTGGGGGAATTATCTGGAGACAGAAAAAGATATTGTTTATATCCAGTAAACAAAAAAGTAAAGTCTGGAGATTTATATTATATAGTGAATGCTGGAAATTAATTGTATTTTTGCTTATATAATCTCCTACTTAAATTTCTTTTTTTTCCCCTAAACAAAGACGAGGTCTTGCTATGTTGCCCAGACTGGTCTCAAACTCCTGAGCTCAAGTGATCCTCCTGCCTCAGCCTTCTAAAATGCCGGGATTACAGGCATGAGCCACTGTACCTGGCCTTAAATTTCTTAACATAGCTAGCATTTGGAGAAAACCAACCAATAACAACAAAAGACCAACAAAATTAAATTTAACGAGGACGAAAAGACAGCAAGTGACATAAAAAGTTTAAACATTTTGATTTAGACTATGTATCTGTTCCACTATGAAGCTATGAGTAAAAAAAAAAAATCAAGCATAAATACTTTCATGCTTTTCCTTAATACACACACACACACACACACACACACAGCTCACATAGCATTTCGAGGGCGATTTTAAGTAAATGTCTTGGGTAGAACACCTGTTCTAACCCCATCCCAATACACAGTATGCCAAAAAGTATCTTTTTATCTATTGTTAATACCTAAAAATCTACCATTAGAAATCCAGTTTACAGCTGGGTGCGGCAGCTCACGCCTGTAATCCCAGCGCTTTGGGAGGCCAAGGCGGGTGGATCACCTGAGGTCAGGAGTTCAAGATCAGTCTGGCCAACATGGTGAAACCCCATCTCTACTAATAAAACAAAAATTAGCCGGGTGTGGTGGCAGTCGCCTGTAATCCCAGCTACTTGGGAGGCCGAGGCAGAATTGCTTGAACCCAGGAGGCGGAGGTTGCTGTGAGCTGAGATCACACCACTGCACTCCAGCCTGGGGTACAAGGGCAAAACTCTGCCTCCAAAACAAAAAAAAAAAAAGAGAGAGAAAGAAAAAGAAATCCAGTTTACATCAGAAGCTAACATCCAACTATACCTAGAAGGGCAAACACTAATTCCTTATATAAGGTATAATTAAATCCCTTCTAACAGGAACTACCTCCTTATGGCATAGACACCAACTTCTGCCAGGAAAGAAGGCAACCTAGAGCTTAGACTTGGGACTACAAGAGCACTGCATCTGGGTAACAGAAAGGCATTAAAAACAAACAAAACCCAGAGGTTTAGTTCAAATTTCTACCCATTAGAATCTGGCCCAAGGGATGTTCTACAATGACATTTTACAATCCTCTATTCTGCTAATTATCAAATTGTATGTGAAAGCAAAATCTAACCTATACTCTTTTTTACTTACTGGTGGTCCAGAAGGAAATGGAGGCAGCCAGCATGATAGTAAGTGGGGTGGTGGTGGTGGCGGTGGCGGTGGTGGGCCATTGAATTTTAGACCTGGCTATAAGGAATATTTCAAAGGAAAATTAACTTACCAATTTCAATATGATAGGAATAAAAAGGACTCAAAACCAAAAGGATAAAAATAATTACCCAGAATATTTGTTTTATACATATCAAAAAGATTAAGTGAAATTTCATGTACCAAATCCTGAAGTCAAACAGACTCATAAGTCAAATGACAACCTCTGGATTTTTCTCATTTCCTTTCTATGTAGACATTAAGGAAGTAAAACAAAATAAGAGTGGTGATTACCTAATAAATCAGAGACAGTCTATTTAGCAAAATTATTTCAATCATAAAAGACTATATCCCAAATTTCATTAACTAAATTGTATATTTTTATGAAAGCCTGTTTAGCTATACATGCCAACTTAGAGGACATATTGTGAAAACTAGCAAATCTCTCCTTATAAAAATCAGCCCCCTGAGACCAATGAAGCATGATGTATATATCCTAAGAGGGTACATCATTTTAGATTCAAGAAACTGTAATATAATGTAAGCCTCAATAAGAACATTATCACAGAAAATCTTAAAACTTTTGGTGAGTCATGCTTGTTTTTTGAAAATGACTGCCTAGGCTAGGCGCCTGTAATCCTAGCACTTTGGAAGGCCAAGGTGGGGAGATCACTTGAGGTCAGGAGTTCAAGACCAGCCTGGCCAACATGGTGAAACCCCATCTCTACTAAAAATACAAAATAAGCCGGGTGTGGTGGCGGGTGCCTGTAATCTCAGCTACTTGGGAGGCTGAAGCAGGAGAATCACTTGAACCCAGGAGGTGGAAGTTGCAGTGAGCTGAAATGGTGCCACTGCACTCCAGCCTGAGCGACAGAGCAAGACTCCATCTCGAAAAAAAAAAAAAATTGCCTAAATACCATTCCCTCCATGGAAGAAATCACCGCTTTACACAAAAGAACTAGAAAGGGACAAGCCTTAAGGTTCCATGACATAATCTAACCTATAATAAAAATCTTTTTAGAGTTGATTTCTGTTACTTATAACCAAAAGGACCATAAATGAAAACAATATTTACATTTGAACTCTACAAAACAATCTGAGAGCGCCTCAGGATTTTATCTATATTAGATGTAAATAATGTGTTCTTATTTTACATATCTTATACAGGTGACATGGGAAACAACAGCATATCATCCAGCTAATGATAAATTATTATTACACTTTTTTTTGTTTTGTTTTGTTTTTTTGTTTGAGATGGAGTCTCATTCTGTCGCCCAGGTTGGAGTGCAGTGGCACGATCTTGGCTCACTGCAAGCTCTGCCTCCGGGGTTCACACCATCCTCCTGCCTCAGCCTCCCGAGTAGCTGGGACTACAGGTGCCCGCCATCACGCCCGGCAAATTTTTTTGTATTTTCAGTAGAGATGGGGTTTCACCGTGTTAGCCAGGATGGTCTCGATCTCCTGACCTTGTGATCCGCCCACCTTGGCCTCCCAAAGTGCTGGGATTACAGGCGTGAGCTACCGCGTCCGGCGCATTATTATACTTTCTAACTTAAGTAAGTGTGCTAATTATTAGTCTAATACCTAATACTCCACAAAAGTTAACTGGATAAATCTTTCATATAAAGTATTTTGTTGCATCCACTGCAGTGTCTAACATTTTTTTAAAAAATTAACTATTTTGCATCATTATCTTATTTCCTTTTCAAAAAATTCTTGTGTATTTAAGCTACAAAAGTTTCATGGGAGAGCTACAAATTAGTTAACAGAGAGGTTAAATGTCCCGACATTAACTATTTTCTGGAAAACTTTCATAGAAGGTTTACCTTTCCTGGTCCCAGTCTTGGCCCTGGCATGGGGGGTGGTGGAGGGAGAAAAGAGTTCCATGGAGCAGATTTGGGCTTGATGTTATCTGATTTATTTCCAGGAGACCTGGAGTTCTCACTTTCATCTGTTGAAACTTGGCTTTCATTTTCATTCTTTAAAAAGAAAAAATATGCAGGTTTTTGTTATAAGGGTGTGATTAAGAAAAAATTAATGCCTCGGTGGATCAAACTGACAACTGTGTATACTGTTTAACAGTTTCTCATCTAGTCTCTGCTTCCAGAAATTGAATTTTTTTTTTTTTGTATCCTTACCTCTTGAGCATTCTGTTCTATATTATTAGCTACTTCACAGATTGGGGAAAGTAGATCGGACAGATTTTGCTCCTCTCTATTTCCATATCCAGTGTAAACCACAACACAGGTTTCTCTCTTAAAATCAATTGAAGCAATGGTAGCTGGGTAAATGCAACCGTCTTCTGACCAAATGGCAGAACATTTGTCCCCAACTTTCCACTACAAAAGAAATCAAAGATATATACATGCACACATTTCTTTTGAAGAGGGCAAACTATCATCTCGTTTTGATCAGTGGGGAGGTGAAGGATAGAGGGTAGAGATTTGGAAGGCAAAATGATGTAATGAGAAAGGCTTGGGGTCTAAATACATAAATCTGAATTCCAACTCTCTTACATTTATAATCATGGACAAGTTTCTGAATCTCTTTGAGTCTTAGTTTCCCCATCTTATTAGATGGCTATAATATAAACTACCTCCCATATTTGTTGTGAATAGCGGGAGGGAGATAAAATGCGTATGGTGCCCAGCACTCTGGACTGGCCTAGAGCAAGTGCTCATCAACTGTTAGCTCTCTTCCCCCTTGGTAATGATGAAACTAAAGTTGGCTCAAAAGACACCAAAATATTCAGCTTTCAGGACTACTGCTTTTAACTAGCAGAAATAATCTACCTAGACTTCTGGGTTCCTTGGAATTAACAGTTTTAGAGTTTTTAAAGAAAAAGGGGAAAAAAAAATCTATCTCTCAGCTTAAGATGTAAAACACTGCCAATTCAGCTTACGGCTCTTGGGTACTCCTTCCAAACGGCACCTTCTCCCTGCCTTCCATTCACAAATGGAACACATGTCCTGATTTTAGCATTTATCATTCCCATCTAATTCTTTATACTTTCATGACTAATATGCATGTTCCTAAATAACAGAAAATTTAATAGTTGTTTTTGAAGTTGTATAAGTATATGTCAATAGAAACACTGTACTAATCACTTAAGTTAAAGACATTTTACACTATTAAATAAGGACTAATGAGACATCCTTTGAAGTTAAATCTCAACATTTTAAAATAACCTGTTGTAAGGAAGCTGCAGTATTCTTCTTTTGGCTTTTATTCTTCTTAGCAGGTTTTCTTTTAGGTGTGGTTTTTGGTTTACCCGAAGTTTCACAAATGTCACCATTCTTTAGAGCATGCTACGAAAATAGGAATAAAAATGTACATGTTACAGGGTGGTGCACAGAATAAAAGTCACGACATAACCCAGTTACTACTATAAGCTAGTCTCAAGGCTCCGTCACCTCAGAAAGCACCTATTTTCTCTTTTGACCACCCCCTGCACTATAAAAACTGCTCTTAAAGGCATCATACACCTGACATCAGCTCTAAAGACCCTTTTAATCAAATCTCCTTGCTCTCAACCTCTCTGTAACATTAGACCCTGTTAATTATCTTTCTTCCTGATATTCATGGCCCTTTGGATGTCATAGCAATGTAGGGCCCCAACGGTTTCATTACTTCTGATCAAGCCTTAGATTTAGGCATTCCCAATAAGAGCTGGCCATCCTTCTTTACTTGCTTACGGCCATTATTTTATTTATTTTATTTTTTTACACAGAGTCTCACTCTGTCACCGGGCTGGAGTGCAGTCACACTGATCTCAGCTCACTGCAACCTCCACCTCCCAGGTTCAAGCGATTCTCCTGTCTCAGCCTCCCGAGTAGCTGGGATTACAGGCGTGCACCACTGTGCACAGCTAATTTTTGTATTTTTAATAAAGACGGGGTTTCACCATGTGGGCCAGGCTGGTCTTGAACTCCTGACCTCGTGATTTGCTCGCCTCAGCCTCCCAAAGTACTGGGATTACAGGCGTGAGCCACCGCGCCCGGCCAAGGCCATCTATTCTTATTACTTTAGTTGCAACTGTCTGCAAACACACTTCTGAAGCTATTAATCCAGCTGTGACTTTTCTCAATCTAACATTTCCAATGATCAATTTCACATCTTAATTCATACCTCAAACTCAACCTCAACTTAATTCATATTCAACCTCAACTTAATTCAAATTCAATCTCAACTTAATTCATACTCAAACTCACTACTAAAACTATCGTTTTCCCAAATCAGTTCTTTTCCTCCTTTACTCAGATTACTTCTCCCTGCAATATCACCAACCCATCCCACATCGAGCCCCATTTCAATCTCTATTTTATAGAATTCTCTTGGTAATTCTTTAGTCGACTTCTAGTTTCAGTGTATACTGGAAAGCACATTTAAAAATCTAGGCCGGGTGCAGTGGTTCATGCTTGTAATCCCAGCACTTTGGAAGGTCAAGGCGGAGGGATCTTTTGAGCTCAGGAGTTCCAGGCCAGCGTGGGCAACAGGGTGAGACTGCATCTCTACAAAGAATACAAAAATGAGCTGGGTGTGGTGGCACACACCTGTGGTCCCAACTACTCAGGAAGCTGAGGTAGGAGGATTGTTTGAGCTCATGAGTTGAAGGCTCCAATGAGGCATGATCACGCCACTACACTCCAGCCTGGGTGACAGGGCAAGACCCCATCTCAAAAAAAAAAAAAAATCTAGAAATCAGTTACAAAGGTGACATAGAGGTCTGATCTTTAGCTCATGTTACAAGAGTAACTATGAGAAAGACATGAAATCTGTATGCTTGGTGCTCTTTATACACTGTATGAGTATATGCTCTGTTTGCTCAAGGTAGTCTGGACTATTGTTTGCTCAAGGTAGTCTGGACTATTGATGACCCATATTTAGTGCTCAGTAAGACTAAACATCTCAGAGAATGGAGAAGGTGATGATGTTGGCCAACTGTGTAAGTGTCCTGTTTGAGACACAGAACCATACTACATTTCCTAAAAGAACTGTATATTCCTACCCAATAGGAACACTTGAATTGATACCCAACTTACAGGATTTGGGATGATTAGAGTAATTTAATATATGAAACGCACACAGAGCACTGTCAGCATGCTACAAATATTAATTGCTGTACTAATGCTATTTATCTTCATCATTATTTTACTACATGCTTGTTAAATGTTTAAAATTATAATTCAGATTGTCTTTTTCTTATTAATCTCAATTAGAGGACTTCCATAGTTTGATACAATGTAAAAATACTAAAAGGAATACATTGTTTGTTCGTTTTCTGAGATGGAGTCTCACTCTATCGCCCAGGCTGGAGTGCAGTGGTGCAATCATTGCAACCTCTGCCCCCCAGGTTCAAGCAATTCTCCTGCCTCAGTGTCCCAAGCAGCTGGGATTACAGGCACGTGCCACCATGCTTGGCTAATTTTTGTATTTTTAGTAAAGACGGGGTTTCACCATGTTGGCCAGGCTGGTCTCAAACTCCTGACCTCAGGTGATCCACCCGCCTCAGCCTCTCAAAGTGCTGGGATTACAGGAGTGAGCCACCATACCCAGCCAGGAATAAATGTTTTAAATTTTATTTAAATTGCCTCCACAAAGGATGACATATATAGGCTATCAACTTCTAAAGGAGGATATCACCTGATTTAACTAACTCATACTACCATCTAATCTTCAAAATGAAAACTGAATAACATGTACTTTAACACTTTATCGTATGTTATCAATTCCTTTCCAAATGAATAACGAGAAAATAAGAAAACGACTAAGCAAGCATTTCATACCTTAAATGAAGCCACAGCTTTATCATATGCTTTTATCAGTGCTGTATCATCCCAAATGTCAGAATCATCGCTCTGGAAAGGGTAAGAAATAAAAACAACTCATGTTCAGATAGGTTTAATCAGAAAATGTATGTTAGTACCAAGAGTCATCTTAATCCACACATAACAAAATTACACTGAAAATGAGTATTTAAAATCCTAAATAAAGCCACAGGAAACTTACCTGGTTAGAGGTTATGTGACTTTACTCCAAAAGCTAGACATAGGTAAATGTTCTAAGAATGAATGCCATCAAGTGAATGCCCCTACAATTTAATTCCTATCCACATACCATGAGTAGATTTGTTCAAGGCCAGCTATATTTATTTCAATTAAGATCAGATAAAACTTGACTTCATCTAGACTACGGGAATGCTGTTCTGACCTCAGAACCTATGATCCAAAGAATATTTTTTCTTTTGAAATTATAATGTTTCCAGATTATAAGGATACAAATTGTTAATAGTGACTAACCAATTTTCATTTTATTATTATTATTATTTTTTTACTTCCATTTCCCTTTCCTGCTTTCCTGGTACCAATTTTCTTTCCTTCCTTTTCTTTTCCTTTCTTTCGTTTCTTTCTTCTCTCCCTCCCTCCTTCCTTTCTTCCTTCCTTCACTTCTCTTTCTCTCTTCTTTTTTTCTCCCCTCAAATTCCTGTGTTCAAACGACCCTCCCACCTCAGCCCACTGAGTAGTTGGGAATATAGGTGCATGCCACCATGCCTGGCTAGTTTTTAAAATTTTTTGTAGGGACGGGGTCTCGCCATCTTAGCCAAGCTGGTCTTGAACTCCTAGGCTCAAGTGATCCTCCAGCCTCGCTCGGCCTCCCAAGTGTGGGAATTACAGGCATGAGCCACTGCACCTGGAAATATTTTTGTCCAGACATGGTGGCTCATGCCTGTAATCCCAGCTACTTGGGAAGCTGAGGCAGGAGAATTACATGAGCCCAGTTGTTGGAGGCTGCAGTAAGCTATGATCATCCCATTGCCCTCTAGCCTGGGTGACAGAGGAAGACCCTGTCTAACAACAACAACAACAATAACAAAATAATAATAATAATAAATAATTTTTTAGCACTATCTGCTAGCACTGTGCAAGTCACTGAGAGATATATAGAAACATGGTACTCTCCAGTTATTATCTAACTAGGGATTTAAGACTATCACACAAGACAAAACAAAAAACAATATAAAACAAATCTTAACAAACATCAAAATGTGAAATACAAACAGTATTTTAATTAAAAAGGAAAGAAATTAATGTCTACTGCAAGATCATATGGAGGAAACCGGCCTAAGAAATAAAAACCACTCACGCCTGTAATCCCAGCACTTTGGGTGGCCGAGGTGGGTGGATCACGAGGTCAGGAGTTCGAGACCAGCCTGGCCAACATGGTGAAACCCTGTCTCTACTAAAAATACAAAAATTAGCCGGACATAGTAGCACATGCCTGTAATCCCAGCTACTTGGGAGGCTGAGGCAGGAGAATCACTTGAACCTGGGAGGCAGAGGTGGCAGTGAGCCAAGATCGCGCCACTGCACTACAGCCTGAGAGACATAGCGAGACTCTGTCTCAAAAAACAAACAAAACAAAACAAAACAAAATAAAACAAAACAAAACAACAGGATTTAGGCCGGGCATGGTGGCTTGTAATCCCAGCATTTTGGGAGGCCAAGGCAGGTGAATTGCTTGAGTCCAGGACTTCCAGACCAGCCTAGGCAACAGGGTAAGAACCTTGTGTCTACTAAAAATACAAAAATTCTGGCCGGGCGTGGTGGCTCATGCCTGTAATTCCAGCACTTTGGGAGGCAGAAGCAGGCAGATCACGAGGTCAGGAGTTCGAGACCAGCATGGCCAACAAGGTGAAACCCCATCTCTACTAAAACTACAAAACTTAGCTGGCGTGGTGGCAGTCACCTGTAATCCCAGCTGCTTGGGAGGCTGAGGCAGGAGAATCACTTGAACCCGGGCGGCAGAGATTGCAGTGAGCTGAGATTGTGCCACTGCACTCCAGCCTGGGTGACACAGTGAGACTCTGTCTCAAAAACAAACAAACAAAAAAACCAAATTTAGCTGGGCATGGTGGCACATGCCTATAGTCCCAGCTACCTGCAGGGGCTGAGGCGAGAGGATCACCTGGGCCCAGGAAGTTGAGGATGCAGTGAGTGGAGATGGCGCCGCTGCACTCCAGCCTGGGTAACAAATTGAGACCTTGTCTGGGAAAAAAAAACAAAAAAAAACAAAAAAAACCCCCCAAAAAAAAAAAAAACCCAACAGGATGTGCATAGGTAGACAAAATAGAACGCATTCCAAGTAAGAGCATGAACAACAACAAAAAAGGCATGGAAGCAAAAATAACACTAACTATAAGAATTTATTTATGTAAGGTAACTAAGTAGTCAAATTTATAGAATTAGAAAGAATGGGCCAGGCGCAGTGGCTCACGCCTGTAATCCCAGCACTTTGGGAGGCCGAGGTGGGCAGATCACCTGAGGTCAGGAGTTCGAGACCAGCCTCAACATGGAGAAACCCCTTCTCTACTAAAAATACAAAATTAGCCGGGCGTGGTGGTGCATGACTGTAATCCCAGCTACTCGGGAGGCTGAGGTAGAATTGCTTGAACCTGGGAGGCGGAGGTTGTGGTGAGTCGAGATTGCACCATTGCACTCCAGCCTGGGCAACAAGAGTAAAACTCCATCTCAAAAAAAAAAAAAAAAAAAAAAGAATGATGATTACCAAGGGCTAAGTGTAAGGAGAAATGGGAATTTGCTAATGGGTAGAGTTTCAGGTTGCAAGACGAAAAACTTCCGAAGATCTATTGCGCAACAACATGAACATACTTAATATTACTGAACTATATACTTAAAAATGGTTAAAATGACAAATTTTTTTACTTCAATAAAAAATAAAACACACTGTATGAGGGATTAGTGAGACAAGTCCAAATAGAATCCAATTTATACTATAGGGTAGAGTTGGATTTGGTATACTAGAGAGTATTTTGGATTTGGTATAGTATTAGTCAATGAATTCCAAAAAAGTTTGTTATAAAATTCACTGAGTTGTAATATTACTTTTTGTCATTTTCCTGTTTTTTTTTTGTTTTGTTTTGTTTTCTCTTGAGACAAGAGTCTCGCTATGCCACCCAGGCTGGAGTGCAGTGGCATGATCTCGGCTCACTGCAACCTCTGCCGCCCAGGTTCAAGTGATTCTCCTGCCTCAGTCTCTCAAATAGCTGGGATTATAGGCGCCCACCATCAAGCTGGGCTAATTTTTGTATTTTTAGTAGACATGGGCTTTCATCATCTTGGCAAAACTGGTCTCGAACTCCTGACCTCAAGTGATCCTCCCACCTCAGCCTCCCAAAGTGCTGGGATTACAGGCATGAGCCACCGCACCCAGGCTTGTCATTTTCCTGTTAATCTCCGTTATATAGAGACAAATGTATTCCAATATAAAATGTCAATCTTGCTGTATGATAAAAAGTACTTAATAATCCCAGCCTGGGCAACATGGCAAAACCCCATCTCTACAAAAAGTACAAAAATTAGCTGGGCGTGGTGGTTCACATCTGTAGTCCCAGCTACCCAGAAGGCTAAGGTGGGAGGGCCGCTTGAACCAGGGAAGAGGAGATTGCAGTGAGTGGAGATCAGAGATCGTGCCACTGCACTCCAGCCAGGGTGACAGTGAGACCCTGTCTCAAAAAAAAAAAGTACTTAAGATCATTAAGTCACTTTGCAGATAAGAAAAGTAATCACAAAGAGGTTAACTGACTTAAGGTTACATTCGCACTTGGAAGGGAAGATATTCCTTGGAGATTTGGTAAAAGGAATAAAAACAGGCTGGGTCCAGTGGCTCACACCTATAATCTCTGTCTCGAAAGAAAAAAAGGGGGGTAGGGGGGAGGCTGGGCACGGCAGCTCATTCCTGTAATCCCAGCACTTTGGGATGCAGAGGTGGGTGGGGTGGGTGGATCACTTGACATCAGGAGTTTGAGACCAGCCTGCCAATGTGGCAAAACCCCGTCTCTATTAAAAATACAAAACTTAGCCGGGCATGGTGGTGCACACCTGTAGTCCCAGATACTTGGGAGGCTGAGGCAGGAGAATTGCTGGAACCCGGGAGGCAGAGGTTGCAATGAGCCAAGATCACTGCACTCCAGCCTGAGTGACAGAGTGAGACTCCATCTCAAAAAAAAAGGAAGCAAACAGTAGAAAATGAAGGGTGGTCCTGAAGAAATAAAGAAATCACAAAATCAAGGCCAGTGATATCAATAGAAGAGTGCAGTCTTAAAGCAAGATACACAGACAGATGGCAGCTCAAACTCCTCATATCTCAACTGTTATTGCCAGACCAGGAAACAAGTAATTTCAAAACGAACAGAAAACAAAGCGACAGAAGAAAAGGTAATACTGATTACAAGGTACCCAAGGACAAATACATCTGACTGAAAATCTAAGGAGCACCAAAGCAAAGCCATGAAAAAGAACCAAAGGAACAAAAATAAATAAGAAGCAAAATGGTTGATACATTGGCAAACAGTATTTATTTAACGTATGTATAAATGGGGTCCCTGAAGAATAAAAACAAAACAAAACAAACAATCTTCCTGGTGGTCTAGTGATTAGGAATTTAAAAAAAAGAAAAATTCCTAGGGATGGGAGGAAGAACCCCCTCCCATCCTCAGAGAGCCTCTAAGCAAAAAGACTAAGTTACAAAATAAAGAAAATCAGTTATCATTAGACTTTCTCATAGAAATTTATGGGGAAAAAGTATGAGCCAAGAATTTTATATGCAGCCTAGCTGTCCTTGAAGTAGCAAGACTAAGAAAAGTCTAAAATGTAGAAGAATACCGTACTCACTAGCCTTTCCAGGGTAATCTATTGAAAATACGCTTCATCCAACCAAGATATGACCAGGGAAACTTGGGTTTTAAAAATAACAGAACTGGCCAGGCATGGTGGTTCACGCCTGTAATCCCAACACTTTGGGAGGCCGAGGTGGGTGGATCACCTGAGGTCAGGAGTTCAAGACCAGCCTGATCAACATGGTGAAACCCCGTCTCTACTAAAAATACAAAATTAGCCGGGCGTGGTGGCGCATGCCTGTAATCCCAGCTACTCGGGAGGCTGAGGCAGAAGAATTGCTTGAACCTGGGAGGTGGAGGTTGTGGTGAGCCAAGATCGCGCCACTGCACTCCAGCCTGGGCAACAAGAGCGAAACTCTTGTCTCAAAAAAAAAAAACGAAAAACATAAAACAGAATTGTTAGCATCAAATATATTTAATTGTGGATCTAAGAGGAAAGTAGTGTATTAAATTGAAAAGCTGATTCTAAAATTTATATGGAACTACTAAGGACAAAAATAAACCAAAGCTGGACAATTTACATTATCTAACTTTAAGACTGTAAACCAGAAGTAGCTAAGACAGGTTTCAATCAATTTAGAAAGTTTATTTTGCCAAAGTTAAAGACGCTCCTATGACACAGCCACAGGAGGTCCTGATGACATGTCCCCAAGGTGGTGGGGTACAGCTTTGTTTTATACATTTTAGGGAGACATGAGGCATCAATCAATATATGTAAGATGTACATGAGTTCTGTCAGGAAAGGCAGGACAACTCAAAGTGGGGGTAGGGAGGTTTCTAGGTCATAGGAAGATTTAAAGATTTTCTAATTGGCAACTAGTTGAAAGAGTTATTATCAACAGAAAGGAATGTTTGGGTTACCATAAGGGGTTGTGGAGACCAAGGTTTTATCATGCAGATGAAGCTCCCAGGTAGCAGGCTTCAGAGAGGGTAGGTTGTAAATGTTTCTTTTCAGACTTTAAGAGTCTGTTCTATCAGTAATTCCAAAAGGTAGTAGGGTGTGATGAGACATGTCCAACTCCCCCTTCCCATCATGGCTTGAACTAGTTTTTCAGGTTAATTTTGGAATGCCCTTGGCTGAGAGGATGGGTCCATTCAGTTGGTTGTGCAGGGGCGGGGGGGGCCTATAATTTTATTTTTGGTTTACAAGACATACCCTGAAGCAATAGTAATTAAAAGTGTAGTACTGACATCAATATACACTAATAGACAATGTAACAGAATTGAGAGTCAGAAATAGCCCTGTGATATATGTGACTGATTTTAACTAAAGTTACAAATGTGGTTTAATAGAGAAAGCATAGTAGTTTCAAGAAATGGTGGTAAAACTATTGGAAATCCTTATGCAAAAACAAACCAAATTTCCACCTACACTGAGCCACATATAAGAATTAATACAAAATGGATTACAGACCTAAGTGTAAAACTAAAACTCTAAACTGTGTAAAAAAAAAAAAGAGAGAAAAATCTGTGATCATGGATTGCCTATAACAAAAGAACAAACTGAAATGGCCTTGTTGCCTGGGGTGGCACCCGAGGTTCTTGGTCTCACGCTGAGGAAATCAAGGACGCTGACACACCAAGGGTGTGAGGCTAGAGCAGAAGTTTAATAGGCAAAAGAAAGAGACTAGCTCTCTCCTGCAGAGAGAGGTCCTGAAAAGAGTTCCCATTCCACAGTGAAATGCAAGCATTTTTATAAATGAGCTAATGGGAAGGGGGTAGCTTATCTACACATAGGGAGCAAAAAACCAGTTAGGACCAGGTGTTGCCATCTGCACAGAGCGTGAATCTCTGGCATCCCCCACCCCAACCTTTTATTATGCAGGCAGGTCCTTGGCCTGAGCTACTCCACATTGCTTATCTCTTTCCTATTGTGCATGTGCTAAATAAGGGGAGGTGGAGCCACCATGGTGGACATGCCTGGCCCCAGGTACCCCTTTCTCTCCGTGCAGCTGCAGGCAACCCCAACAACTCACAACATGCAAGCTTCCAGCTTCCTTATCTGAGTATGTACTAAGGTCCACTGTGTTTACTTCACATACTGTGTTTACTTCACATACCCACCTTACGTATGTGAAGCTTGCTGATTACCCAGGAAGCTCCCCCTCTGTGCCAGAGCTGCTTCCTTATACATGTTTACAGCCCGATCTTCCAGGCTGCTCCTTGTTAGAAGAGAAGTGATTTCTTGGGCTGCTTTTTGTTAGAAGGGAAGTTCTACCGAGGACTCTGTCTAACTATCGGCTTACCTAGTCTTTTTTTACCTCCTCTCTCAAAACCATCAAAGAAAAAACTGAAAAATTAGATTTCAGCAAAATTAAGATTTTCTGTTCTTAAAAAGACGTTGTTAACAAAATGAAAAACCAAAGTGTAAACCGGGAGAAAATACATGCAAGTTACCTATCTGATAAAGATATTGTACCCAGCAAACATGAAGAACTCTCAAACCTCAACAACAAAAAAATTCAATTAAAAGATGGGTAAGTTGGCCGGGTGCAGTGGCTCATACTTGCAATCCCAATCTTTGGGAGGCTGAGGCAGGAAGATTGCTTGAGCCCAGGAGTTCACGACAAGCCCAGGCAACATAATGAGACCTTGTTTCTACAAAATTTTAAAAAATTAGCCAGGCATTGTGGCGTGTGCTCGTAATTTCAGCTACTCAGAAGGCTGAGACAAGAAGACTGAGCGCAGGAGGTGGAGGCTGCAGTAGGCTGTGTGATTGCACCACTGCACAACAGCCTGGGTGACAGAGTGAGACACTGTCTCCAAAAAAAAAAAACAAACAAAAAAAAAACCCAAATGATTTGAATAGACACTTCACCAAAAAAGATATACGGATGGCAAATACACTCATGAAATGATCAACAGCAGCACTGGTCATTAGGAAATGCTAATTAAAATCACAAGAAGCCACTATATCTATTATAATGCCTAAAATTAAAAAGACTGACCATACCAGGTGTTTGCAGGGACACTGAGCAAATGGAACTTTCATACATTGCTGGTCAAAATGCAAAATGGGGGAGCTGTTCTGAACCTATTTAGTTGTGGGGGCTGTCCAACTTTTGAATTTTTCTTTGCTCAATTAATCTCTGTTATATTAAAAAGTAACATGGTACAACCACCACTTTGAGGAAGAGTTTGACAGCTCCTTAAAGACTTAAAATACATCTACCCTGAGACCTAAGTATTCACTCAAGAAAAATGAAAGCGTATGTCTATACAAAGTCTTCTTTAAAATTTTTTATAGAAAATTTTTAATTTTTGATTTTAAAATAAAAATAGAGGTTTCACCATGTTTCCCAGGCTGGTCTCAAACTCCTGGGCTCAAGCGATCTGCCAGCCTTGGCTATATGAAGTCTTATACACTAATATTCATAGTGGCTCTACTTGTTAACAGTCCCAAACTGGAAAAAGCCCAAATGTTCACAAGCAAGCGAATGAATACAGTATAGTATATACATGCAATGGGATACTACTCAGCAATAAAATGGATGAAAATCAAAATAGCTATGATAAATAAAAGAAACGTGACAAAAAAGGTACTCTATCATTCCACGTTTATAAAAATTCTTAAAAATGCAGGCTAATCTATGGTGACAGAAAGTAGATCAGTGGTTGTCTGGGGACAGGACAAGGAGGGATGAAAAGGATCACAAAACAGCAATCCAACTGAGGCCACCATGCTATAAGGAAATCCAAACCAGCCCACACATTGAAACCACATAAAGAAATCTTCATGAGACTACATGAAAAAAAGAGATAGCCTGCCAATCCCTAGCTGCTCAGTCCCCAGCTACTGTAGCTCTAGCAACTATGTAGGTGCAACCACGAGACAGCCGCACGAAAACTGCCCAGCACGGCTCTCACAAATTCCTAACCCACAGAAACAATGAGAGATAATAAAATGTTCTTTGTTGTTTCAAGCCACTAAGTTTTGGCAGATTCGTTACACAGCAACGGCAGCCAGAACGGACCACCAGGACTGCCTTTATATCTGATTCTCAGTCATTTCCAGTAGCTCAGATTTCTCAAATTATTCCCAACACCCTGCCATCTTCTACCTTCTCCTACCACTTCCTGAAACTTCCACTGTGCTCCCTTGAGTAATTCATAAAATCCACTCTTTAACCTCTGAATCATCCCTTCATTTCTTGCTCTAAGTAAAATCTAGCTCCCTGAGGATGCCTTTTCCTTTCGCAGCCATCTCAAATGATAGATGTTTCCTCTTTTCTCCTCCACACACTTCATATCACTGTACCTACTGGAGATGTGGGGAAGAAATCTTCCCTGCTCTGGCTGGCGCGGTGGCTCACGCCTGTAATCCCAAGCGCTTTG
Organism: Homo sapiens; assembly: GCF_000001405.40. NCBI lineage: Eukaryota > Metazoa > Chordata > Mammalia > Primates > Hominidae > Homo > Homo sapiens. Next base: position 845,961 of record NW_025791777.1, read on the forward strand.
GGAGGCCGGGGTGGGCGGATCACAAAGTCAGGAGATTGAGACCATCCTGGCTAACACGGTGAAACCCCGTCTCTACTAAAAATACAAAAAAACAATTAGCTGGGCGTGGTGGCGGGCGCCTGTAGTCCCAGCTACTCGGGAGGCTGAAGGAGGAGAATGGCGTGAACACGGGAGGCGGAGCTTGCAGTGAGCGGAGATCTCGCCACTGCACTCCAGCCTGGGCGACTGAGCCAGACTCCGACTCAAAAAAAAAAAAAAAAAGAAAAAAGAAATCTTCCCTGCTCCTTACTTGCACTTTCAGATTATTCTCCTCCATTCCCCTCTCAAAATTCCCAGCCTTGAAAATCCTGACAAAAAGTAGCCAGGCATGGTGGTCAGCACCTGTAGTTCCAGCTACTTGAGAGGCTGAAGTGGGAGAATCCCTTGAGCTTGGGAGGAGGTTGTAGTGAGCCGTGATCGCGCCACTGCACTCCCACCTGGGCAACAAAAAGAGGCCCTGTCTCGGGGGGGGGGAAAAAAGAAAGAAGGAAAATCTTGTCACCAGACTCACAGTCTATTATCGTTTCCTATTGCAGTCACCTACAGCCTACCGAGTCACTCTTCCTCATTCCTTAATGTTTACATCGCAGTTCTCTCTCCAACACTACTCCTGTCATAATTTTTGGTGATTTAAATATCCATGTAGATGATCCCTTCAATTACCCTATATTTGCAGGTCTCTAAACTCCTCTCCACCACAATCTTGTACATCCTCTGATGTGGTGCAGCTCTGTGTTCCTACCCAAATCTCATGCTGAATTGTGATCCCCAGTGTTGGAGGTGGGCATGGTAGGAGGCGACTGGATCATGGGGGTGATTTCTAATGATTTAGCACCATCCCCAAGTGCTGTTTCCTGATAAGCGTTCTCACAAGATCTGGTTGTTTTAAAGTATGTAGCACTTCCCCCTTCTCTCTCTCTCCTGCTGGCCATGTGAAGACTGTGCTTGTTTCCCCTTCACCTTCCACCATGACTGTAAGTTTCCTTAGGCCTCCACAAGAGAAGCCTGTACAGGCAGCAGAACTGTGAGCTGATTAAACCTCTTATCTTTATAAATACCTGGTCTCAGGTATGTCTTTGTAGCAGTGTAAGAATGAACTGATACATCCCCAAATCTCAGCTACTCACTCACTTCAACTGTATTTATTTATTATAACCAATAACCACAACCTCTCCATAAATGCAGTTTCAAGAATCCCACTCTCTTAACCATCACCTTCTAGGCTCTGCAACTTACTCCTACTAGTGATTTGATGGGGACAATCATTCCACTTCATTAGGACTGGCAGTACATTGATCCTCCCACTTTTTTTTTTTTTTTTTTTTTGAGGCAGAGTCTCATTTTGTCGCCCAGGATGGAGTACAGTGGCACGATCTCGGGTCACTGCAAACTCCACATCCCGGGTTCAAGTGATTTTCCTGCCTCAGCCTCCCTAGTAGCTGAGACTACAGGCACCTGCCACCATGCCCAGCTAATTTTTTTTTTCCAAGAGGAGTCCTGCTCTGTCGCCCAGGCTGGAGTGCAGTGGCGCAATCTCGGCTCACTGCAAACCTCGCCTCCCGTGTTCAACTGATTCTCCTGCCTCAGCCTCCCAAGTAGCTGGGATTATAGGCACGCGCCACCACGCCCGGCTAATTTTTGTATTCTTTTTTTTTTTTTTTTTTTTAAAGACAAAGTTTTGCTCTTGTTGCCCAGGCTGGAGTGCAATGGAGTGATCTCAGCTGTCTGCAACCTCTGCCTCCCAGGTTCAAGCAATTTTTCTGCCTCAGCCTCCCGAGTAGCTGGGATTATAGACACGTGACACCATGCCCGGCTAATTTTTGTATTTTTAGTAGAGACAAGGTTTCACCATATTGGCCAGGCTGGTCTCGAACTCCTGACCTTGTGATCTGCCCAACTCGGCCTCCCAAAGTGCTGGGATTACAGGTGTCAGCCACAGCGCCCGGCCGATCCTCCCACTTTTTAAACTGTCTCTCAGGGTCTTAAAATCCTCACTTCCTTTCTTTTTTTTTTTTTTTGAGGTGAAGTCTCACTATATCGTCCAGGCTGGAGTACAGTGGCGTGATCTCGGCTCACTGCAACCTCCACCTCCTGGGTCCAAGGGATACTCCTGCCACAGCCTCTTGAGTAGCTGGGATTACAGGCACCTGCCACCATTCCCGGCTAATTTTTCTGTATTTTTATTAGAGATGGGGTTTCGCCATATCGGCCAGGTTGGTCTCAAACTCCTGACCTCAGGTAATCCACCCACCTCAGTCTCCCAAAGTGCTGGGATTACAGGCGTGAGCCACCGCGCCCGGCCTCTCACTTCCTTTCTTAGCCAGCTTAAATTCCATGGTCAATCATTAAGAGAACTCCTTTGTACTTCTCCCCCTCACTTCTTCATATCCACGTGGTAAAATCACAACTGCATTAATTTCAACTCTCCATTTACTCTGTGGGTGCCCTCATACACAATCTTGCTGTCTGGTCTCCTTCAACTCATGACCACGAATCTCAAGTAGGCTCTTTATGTTGCCTAGCAATATTTCCACTAAACTTCCCTAGTCCAACCCTTGCCCACTCTTCTAAAGAACTATCTACTTCCCATCTTCTCTTTCCTCTCCCATCCCAGCTTCTAGCTGATAACCTTGCTTCTTTCACTAAGAGAACAGTAAGAATCAAGAGAACTTTCAAAATCTCCTGCCATCCTATCTGCCCATTCACGTATCATAGATGTGTTAACTATATAGCTGTCACCAAAAGAACCGCTAATGTTTCCAACAAAGGCCAAATCCATCCCTTCTTACCTACTCTAGGACATTGCTCTAGCCATTGTCTTCTTTCCGACATCAACTTTCCCATTCTCATCTTTCCTATCAACCCACAAACATGCTGAAACATGTTGCTCCTATCTTAGTGCAGTGGCTCACACTAGTAATCCCAGTACTTTGGGAGGCAGAGGTGGGAGGATAGCTTGAGGCCAGGAGTCCAAGGCTGTAGTGATTCATGATTGCGCCACTGGCACCCCAGCAGCCTGGGCAACAGAGCAAGACCCCCCTCTTTTAAAACCACACACACATAATTAAAATTCCTCTTAACTCACTTCCCCCTCCATTTATTGCCCAATTTCTCTACCCTCCATTTATAATAAAATTTCGTGGTGGCTCACTCCTTTAGGCCCAGCGACTCCAAAGGAGGGTCGCTTGAGGCCAAGAGATCAACGCTGCCATGGGCTAGGATCATGCCACTGTACTCCAGCCTGGGCCACAGAGAGCGAACTTGTCTCTAAAAAAATTTTTTTTAAATAGAATTCCTTGAAATATGCCTACCGATGTTTTTATTATTTATTTATTTATTTATTTATTTATTTGAGACGGAGTCTTGCTCTATCGCCCAGGCTGGAGTGCAGTGGCGCGATCTCGGCTCACTGCAAGCTCCGCCTCCCGGCTTCATGACATTCTCCTGCCTCAGCCTCCCGAGTAGCTGGGACTACAGGCGCCCGTCACCACGCCCGGCTAATTTTTTGTATTTGTAGTAGAGACGGGGTTTCACCGTGTTAGCCAGGATGGTCTCGATCTCCTGACCTTGTGATCCGGCCGCCTCGGCCTCCCAAAGTGCTGGGATTACAGGCTTGAGCCACCGCGCCCGGCCGTTTATTTTGTTTTAAGACAGGGTCTGGCTCTGTCGCCCAGGCTGGAGTGCAGAGGCGCAATCACAGATCACTGCAGCCTCCACCTCCCTGAGCCTTCCAAGGCCTGAACCTTCCAGGTAGCTGAGACCACAGACGCGCACCACAACACCCGTCTAATTTTTGCAGACTCGGAGTCACACTATGTTGCCCAGGCTGGTCAAATGTTGCCTTGGATTTCTCTTCTCCTACTCTCCAACTCACTCCAGCCAAATTCACCCCTACCATGCTATGCCCAAGACTGAACTCCTGAGAAACCTGCTCTACTGGCAATCTTCTCTTTCCCACCTCAGCAAAAGGCAACTTTATCTTTTCAACTATTCAGGATAACCTCCGTTATCGAATCTATCTGAAAAACCTGTTGCCTCCGATTTCAAAATATACCCAGAATCCAAATACTTTCACTCTGTTAATAACATCTTGTTCTGAAGTTCAGATCATCTTAACAGACTCCTAAGTGGTTCCCCTGCTTCACCCTGGCCTAATGCCCCCACCTCCCCCACACCAGCCAGAGAGGAGTGAACAAAATAAGCTACTGCCAAGTCGCGGCAGGGCCTCCACTCAACGCTATCAAGGAGCCCAAACTGCTCGAGGAAGGAGCTTGCGGATGTGGTTCGCAGGGAACGGAGTGGGAAAAGACGTAGAAAAACGCGGACCACAACTCCAGTGAGCGGATCGACTTGATGCTGTCCCGAGGCTGCGGAAGGAGAGTTGGGCCGGAAGAAGGGTGCTGAGAGCGCTAATAGGGAGACTGCACTGGCTGCGACCTCACCTGGCCTGTGCCGCGCCGGAACAGCACGGAATCCTCCTGCTCCGGGACGCCGCCACCACTGCCGCCGCTGCTCATCGCCATAGCAAACCCGCGGGTGCGCAGCGTGGGGCCCCGTCCCTTCTTAAGAGTGACGACTTCCGCCGCCCGGGGCTTCTGGGAGCGGAACAGTACGGTGGCCGGGAGGACCGCTTGTAGTAACTTCTCACGCTTTCTACGAGTGGTTATCGCCCTCCCACATTTGTGGCGTGTATATTTTTCATTTCTCTCAATCCTTTCATTTCACTGTGTTATATTTCCTTTCCTTTTTTTTTTGTTTGTTTGTTTTGAGACAGAGCCTCGCCCTGTCGCTCAGGCTGGAGTGCAGCGGCGCGATCTCGGCTCACTGCAGCCTCGACTTCTTGGGCTCAAGCGATCCTCCCACCTCAGCCTCCCCAGTAGCTAGGACTATAGGCGTGCGCCACCAAGCTCAGCTATTTTTTGTATTTAGTAGAGACGGGGTTTCGGCATGTTGCTTAGGCCTCGTCTCGAACTCCAGTGTGTGTGTGTGTGTGTGTGTGTGTGTGTGTGTGTGTAGATATTTATTCCCCCTCCCCCTTGGAAAAGTAAATGTAAGCTCCTACTAGGAATTTAAAACCTGCTTGATCTATATAAAGACAAACAAGGAAAGACAAACATGGGGGCAGGAAGGAAGGCAGATCCTTAAACACTAGAAGATATTTGATCCCCCAACCTTATTTGTTGTTTGTTTTGAGACGGAGTCTCGCTCTGTCGTCAGAGTGCAGTGGCACCATCTCGGCTCATTGCAGCCTCGACCTCCCGAGCTCAAGCGATCCTCCCGCCTCAACCTCCCAAGTAGCTAGGACCACAGGGGCACGCCACCACACCCGGCTAGTTTCTGTATGTTTTGTAGAGGCGGCGTTTGGAGCATATTGTGTAGGCTGGTCTCGAACTCCTGAGCTCAAGATATTCCGCCCGCCTCTGGCATCCCAAAATGCTGGGATTACAGGTGTGAGCCACCTCGCCCAGCCTCCAGTATTCTTTTTTTTTTTTGCGACAGAGTATTGCTCTGTCACCCAGGCTGGAATGCAGTGGCGTGATCTCAGCTCACTGCAACCTCTGCCTCCCAGGTTCAAGCAATTCTGCCTCAGCCCCCCGAGTAGCTGGGATTACAGGCGCCCACCACCACACCCGGCTAATTTTTGTATTTTTAGTAAAGATGGGGTTTCACCATGTTGGCCAGGCTGGTCTTGAACTCCTGACCTCGTAATCCGACCGCCTCGGCCTCCCAAAGTGCTGGGATTACAGGTGTGAGCCACCACACCGGGCCTCCAGTATTCTTTATTAAGCATCTAGGGTTGCTAAATGGCTTATATGTACATAGTATATATATATTTTTAACTCCACGAAAGGAACTTTGAGCTCTTCCCCCAAAATACCCTTGGCTTCTATATAGTATACAAGAAATATCTGTGGAGGAAGGGGAGAATGGGATGATGTTGACCAAGTGTACAAAAATGGTAACTCTGTAGAGGTAATATGTGGAATGTAATCATTTCACAATGTATATCTAAACATCAAATGGTACACCTTAAATATATACAATTTTTAGGGGTCTGGTACGGTGGCTCATGCCTATAATCCCAGCACTTTGGGAGGCCAAGGTGGGTGGATCACTTGAGGTCAGGACTTCAAGACCAGCCTGGCCAACATGGTGAAACCCTGTTTCTCCTAAAAATACAAAAATCAGCCGGGTGTGGTGGTGCAGGCCTGTAATGACAGCTGCTTGGGAGGCTGAGCCAGGAGAATCACTTGAACTCGGGAGGCGGAGGTTGCAGTGAGCCAAGATCACGCCACTGCACTCCAGCCTGAGTGACAGAGTGCGACTCCATCTCAAACAAATAAATATGTACAATTTTTATGTGTCAAAAAAGTTAAATTGTCACAAGATAAAAAAAAAAATTTAAATCTCATGTCAGGAAAGTAATGTGCCAAAGGTACATCTCACAGATAAACATGAAAACCTGCACTCCAGCCTGGGCGACAGAGTGAGGCTGTGTCTCAGAAAAAAAAAAAAAAGTAAAAAAAAAAGTATGTTTTTATAAAGCTTGCTTAGATTTTTCTGAATCATAAAAATTCTCACAATTGCATTTGATGTCAAAATTTAAACAAATTACCTGGACATATTACATGATGGTTAAAAAAATAAATTTAAACAAAATATAGAACCAGGTTTCTTTTTGTTTTTTAATTTTTTTCTTTTTGAGACGGAGTCTCGCTCTGCCACCCAGACTGGAGTGCAGTGGCTCACTGCAACCTCTGCCTCCCGGGTTCAAGTGATTCTCCTGTCTCAGCTTCCCGAGTACCTAGGATTACAGGCGTGTGCCACCACACCCAGCTAATTTTTGTATTTTTAGTAGAGACTGGGTTTTGCCATGTTGGTCAGGTTGGTCTCAAACTCCTGACCTTGTGATCCGCCCGCCTCAGCCTCCCAAAGTGCTGCGATTACAGGCATGAGCCACCGCACCCAGCCATTTCTTTTTGTTTTTATTATTTAGAGATATAATTGATATACTATAGAATTAATCGTTTTAGAGAGTACAATTGAATGGTAGATAGAGCGGAAACCTTAATATATTCACAAGGTTGTGCAACCATCACTACTATCTAACTCCAGAACATTTTAATCACCCACCAAAGAAACTCTGTTTCCTTTAGCAGTGCGCTGCCATGCTCAGCTATTTTTTGGGAGAGAAGGGGTCTCCCCATGTTGTCCACGCTGGTCTCAAACTCGGTTGCTTAAGCAGTCCTCCCACTTGAGCCGCTGTGCCCAGGCCTGAGTTACTATATTTATAAAAGTTATTTCATATGATAGACAAATCATTCAAAACATAATGAGGTAAACTGCCAAAAGAAACCATTTTACCATATTTGAAGGCATTTAATGTAAATGTTGAATTTAATTTCATGTACTGGAATCAGTCTTTTTGCATATGTAATTTTCATACCAAAAATCTCTCTTCAGTTGACTCCTGGAACTCTCTCATGATAAAATAAAAGTTTCAAATAATGTCGGGGTGGTGGCTAACACCTGTAATCCCAGCACTGTGGGAGTCCGAGGCAGGTGGATCACATGAGGTCAGGAGTTTGAGACCAGCCTAGCCAACATGGCAACACTAAAGATATGAAAGTCAGCCAGGCATGGTGGTGCATGCCTGTAATCTCAGCTACTAGGGAGGCTGAGGCACAAAAATCACTTGAAACTGGGAGGTGGAGGTTGCAATGAGCTGAGATCGTGCCACTGCACACCAGCCTGTGAGACAGAGCAAGACTCTGTCTCAAAAAAAAAAAAAAAAAAAAAAAAAAAAAAGGGCCAAGTATGGTGGCTCATGCCTGTAATCCTAGCACTTTGGGAGGCTGAGTGGGAGAGGATCATTTGAGCCCAAGTAACATGGTCAGGCCCCATCTCTACAAAAATAAATTAGCTGGGCATGGTGGTATGGGCTTGTGGTACCAGCTACTCAGGAGGCTGAGACAGGAGGAGTACTTGAGCCAAGGAGGTCAAAGGCTGCAGTAAGCCATGTTTTTGCCACCGTGCTCCAGCCTGGGCAACAGAGCAATATGCTGTTTCAAAAACAAACTAAAAAAATGGTAGTACCTACATGTGAAGATTGCATATAATAAAGATTGTAAAGCAGAGAGAAAAACTGGACAGTTCACCAAAAAGAAAATCCAAATGTCCACTAGAGATCTGAGAAGATGCCCAACCTCTAGAGCCAAGGAATTGCAAATTAATAACTAAGATAACATTTCAGGGCCTGGCACGGTGGCTCATGCCAGTAATCCCAGCACTTTGGGAGGCTGAGGCAGGCGGATCACTTGAGGTCAGGATTTGAGATCACCCTGGCCAACATGGTGAAATCCTGTCTCTACTAAAAATACAAAAATTAGCTGAGCATGGTTGCGGCGCCTATAATCCTAGCTACTTTGAAGACTGAGGCAGGAGAATCGCTTGAACCTAGGAAGCGGAGGTTGCAGTGAGCTGAGATCGTGCCAGTGCACTCCAGTCTGAGTGACAGGGTGAGACTTCATCTCAAAAAAAAAACAAAAAAACAAAAAATTTCAGGAATATACCTGCCTTTGGTAAAAACAAAAAGAAATTGTGAACCAGGCGTGGTGACTCATGCCTGTAATCCTAGCACTTTGGGAGGCTGAGGCAGGAGGATCCTTTGAGCCCAGGGGTACAAGACCAGCCTGGGCAACATAGGGAGACCTTGTCTCAAAAAAAAATAAATAAATAAATAAAATAAAAAATAAAAAAATCGTGAATAGTGTTGCGATGAATAAAAAAGAAAAAAAATTAAAAAGAAAGAAAACCCAGAAAAACTAACATACCATTTTCCTCTCAGTTTGGCAAAACTATTAGGAATTAATAACATTTGATGTTAGCAAAGTATGGGGAAATGAACTTTTATCCTCTTATTGAAAATATCTGTTTGTAGCCAGGCATGATGACTTATGCCTGTAATCCCAGCAATTTGGGAGGCCAAGGTGGGAAGATTCCTTGAGGCCAGAAGTTTGAGACCAGCCTGAGTAATAAAGTAAGACCCCATGTCATTAAAAAAAAAAAAAAAAAAAAAAAAAAAAGAAGGAAAGACTGCCGGGCGCAGTGGCTCACGCCTGTAATCCCAGCACTTTCAGAGGCTGAGGTGAGCAGAACACTTGATGTCAGGAGTTCAAGACCAGCCTGGCCAACATGGTGAAACCCCACCCCATCTCTACTAAAAATACAAAAATTAGCTGGGCGTGGTGGCGGGCGCCTGTAATCCCAGCTATTCAGGAGGCTGAGGCTGGAGAATCACTTGACCCTGGAGGCGGAGGTTGCAGTGAGCCGAGATCACACCACTACACTCCAGCTTGGACAACAGAGTGAGACTCCGTCTCAAAAACAACAACAACAAAACCCAAAACATCTGTTTAAAGTTTAAGACATGTATACCTGTGAAAGTTGATTACATAAATTGGGTCATTCTTGAAATACTCAACTAAATCAGAGTTGAAGGGCCAGGGGGAAGAAGCATTCGGGGCACACAGCATCTGCTTCAAGAATTAAATTTTCCACAAGTCCAACTGCTGAACCAGCCTTCTGTATCCCTAAGACCAGTTTTACCTAATAGCTGCTAAAATGAACTGCCATGACTCTAAGACTGGTTTTACCTACCACCATCGCTCACCAATCAGAGCTTGCTAGCTCCCACAAGCTCTAGTGTGAATGAGCTTTCTTCCAAAACAGTATGTAATACTGTTCTTTCTCATAAAACCCGGAACCTTCTCTTTTTTTTTTTTGAGATGGAATTTTGCTCTTGTTGCCCAGGCTGGAGTGCAATGGCGCGATCTCGGCTCACTGCAACCTTCACCTCCCGGGTTCAAGCATTTCTCCTGTGTCAGCCTCCTGAGTAGCTGGGATTCAGGCATGCGCCACTATGCCCAACTAATTTTGTATTTTTAGTAGAGACGGAGTTTCTCCATGTTGGTCAGGCTGGTCTCAAACTCCTGACCTCAGGTGATCTGCCCGCCTCGGCCTCCCAAAGTGCTGGGATTACAGGCATGAGCTCTCACACCTGGCCGCAACCTTCCCTTTATTCTCCTGATCATACCAATGATCAGCCCGGTCTGTGTGTATGCCATGAATTGCAGCTCTTGCTTACCAAATAAAATGTTTTTAGAGATTTGTCTCTATATTATATTTGGCTTTGACATAACTATTCCCAAGGAATTCTATCTTTAAAAATCCATTCTTATAGAAATGAAAGCACCAATAAATGGGAATAAGTACGATAATCCACATCGCAGAATTGTTTGTAGTGGCAAAAGTTGCAACATCCTAATTGTCTATGAGTAAGGAAATGATTGAATAAATTACTGTACATCTATACTAAAGTTAAATTTGTAAGTACTGAAGTACAGGCACGGCTATTTTTTTTTTCTTTTTGTGGAAACAGGGTCTCACTCTGTCACCCAGGCTGGAGTGCAGCGGCACCATCTTGGGTCACTGCAACCTCTGCCTCCTGAGTTCAAGTGATCCTCACACCTCAGCCTCCCAAGTAGCTGGGACTACAGGCACGTGCCACCACACCTGGCTAATTTTGGTTTTTGGCTTCTTTCTTAATTGGTATGTTTACTTAAAAATATAGACTAACGGGCTGGGCATGGTGACTTACACCTATAATCCCAGCACTTTGGGAGGCCAAGGCGGGTGGATCATGAGGTCAGGAGATCGAGACCATCCTGGCTAAAACAGTGAAACCCCATCTCTACTAAAAGTACAAAAAATTAGCCGGGTGTGGTGGTGGGCACCTGTAGTCCCAGCTACTCGGGAGGCTGAGGCAGGAGAATGGCGTGAACCTGGGAAGCAGAGCTTGCAGTGAGCCGAGATTGTGCCACTGCACTCCAGCCTGGGCGACAGAGCAAGACTCCATCTCAAAAATAAATAAATAAATAAATAAAATAATAAAATAAAATATAGACTAATGATCCTGTGCTTCAATGTCATTGTGGTTATGTGCTGATGTCCATAAAACATAAGTTATAAGGGACTCTTCACAAATACACTCCAGACAGAAGGGTAAACAGAAATGACTGACAAGACAGTGCCATTTCAGACATACTTCCCTTAATTATTAATACTTGCTAGAAAATGGAGTTTGACATTATTTACAATTATACCAATATTCACAGAGGCCAACTGTCACAGGCATTAAGGGCACACCAGGGCCAGGAGACCTCATTTCAGACTTCCCAAATATTTTTATATTTTAGCTATTAAGATCAGTTACCAGAGCTCAACTTGTTCTTAACAAGCAGAATTTTTATGTCCATTCAAAGAGTCTCTTATACCTTTCTGGGCCTATTTACTTGCAGAGAACAGTAGAAACTGTAACCAGGCTCTTCATATCATGCATTCACATGTGATGTCCAATCTTCATATGCTGTCCAATTTCTTTAAGATAAATGGAGTGACTCGCAGCAGGGCCACGTAGATGAGAAAGTTCTGTATGGAGATCATATCCTCGTGCATCTTCCGTTTCATCTCCGTGAGGTCCAGCTTCCGGGCAAGGCCCCCAATCCGGAAGATCAGCTGCCTCGCTCTGCTCTCCCTAATGGCCCCCTTACACCCGGAACTCGGCCTATCCCCTCGCCCCAGCTAATTTTTGTATTTTTAGTAGAAATGGGGTTTCGCCATGTTGCCCAGGCTGGTCTTGAACTCCTGGGCACAAGGGATCTACCCGCCTTGGTCTCCCAAAGTGCTCAGATTACAGGCATGAGCCACCACGCCTGGCCCAACATGGCTATTATTTTTTAAAGTGCTAAATTATGGCCGGGGGCTGTGACTCACGCCTGTAATCCCAGCACTTTGGGAGGCCGAGGCGGGTGAATCACGAGGTCAGGAGATGGAGACCAGCCTGGCCAACATGGTGAAACCCCATCTCTACTAAGAATACAAAAAATTAGCTGGGCGTGGTGGCAGGCGCCTGTAATCCCATCTACTCAGGAAGCTGAGGCTGGAGAATCGCTTGAACCCGGGAGGCGGAGGTTGCAGTGAGCAGAGATCACGCCACTGCAGTCCAGCCTGGGCAACAGTGCGAGACTCTGTCTCAAAAAAAAAATAAATAAATTACCTGGGTGTGGCAGCGCGTGCCTGTAATCCCAGCTACCCAGGAGGCTGAGGCAAGAGAACTGCTTGAACCCAGGAGGCAGAGGTTGCATGGAGCTGAGATGGCGCCACTGCACTCCAGTCTGGTGACAGAGTGAGACTCCATCTCAAAAAAAAAAAAAAAAAGTGCTAAGTTACATCTAAGTTTCCTATTTTTGTTTAAAAAACTCCTTGTAGTGGGTTGAATGGTGGACCCCAAAATGATACATCTGTCCATCTGATATGCGTGAATGTGACCTATTTGGGAAAACAGTTTTTGTAGATGAAATTAAGGATTTCCAAATGAGATCATCCTAGGTTAGAATGGAACCTAAATCCAACAGCAAAAGTCCTCATAAAAAGAAGGGAAGAAGACAGAAAAGAAGACCACAAAGACAAAGGCAGAGATAGGAGTTATGCTGCCATAAGCCAAGTAATACCTGGAGCCACCAGCAGCTGGAAGAGGAAAGCAAGGATTCTCCCTTGGAGCCTTCAGAGGGAGGTGTGGCCCAGCTGACATCTTGCTCTCAGATTTCTGGCCTCCAGAACTGTGAACAGAAATATTTCTGTTGTTTTAAGCCACTAAGTTTGTGGTAATTTGTTACAGCAGCTCTCAGAATCAAATACATTCCCACACCCCTTATTTATGTGTATGTGTGTGTATGCATGTTTGCATGAGCACTGAGAGAAGTATACCATTATTAACATTGGTTAGTTCAGGGGAATGGGACTGGCTTACTGAAGGCTGAGAGAGTATACGTGTGTGTATATAAATTGAGTGTATTTAAATTAAGTATATGGAAGTAAATTAAGACTACAATGAGATACCACTACCTCCCACCAATATGGTTAAAGATAAAAGGACTGATAATACCTAATGCTGGTATGGAGCAATGGAACCTTCCTTTATTGCTGGTGGTAAAATGGTATGGTCATTAAAAACAAACTAAAACAAAAACAACAAAAATGCAATTGTTTGATGGTACCTACTAAAAAATGTGTGTATGTGTGTGTATAGACACACACCCTATGACCCAGCAATTCCATTCCTGGCATATACTCAGTAGATAGCGTGTTTAAGACCATCATAAGATATATAAAAATGTTACGGTAGCATTATTCATAACAGCCCCAAAGTGGGAGCAATTCAAAGGTCCATGAAATGTAGAGTAACTAAATTATGGTATATTCATATAACAGAATGCTACACAACAGTGAAAAAGGCTGAACTGCTGCATAGCAGCAAAATAGAGAATTCTTTTAGACGTAACGTTGAGCAAATCAAGCTAGGCTCACTACAGCACATACCGTGTGATCCCATTTACAAAAAATTCAAAAACAGGCAAAACTAATCTATGGTGATAATCAGATGGGAGGCATTATCTAAGAGGGTGCTGGAAATGTCCTTTATTGTGATCTGAACATAGTATTCATATACGAGTCATTGAAATATACATTTCAAATGCTGGCTGTTTATTATCATTTCACTGGGATAAATGCCCAAGGAGTTAGTTTTCAAAGAGATGCTATTTAGAATTTATGGAAATTTAGAACTTACTGTATTTTCCCAGATTTTCTATAATGAGCAAGCATTGCAGTTTGAGGGTTTGAAAGATTGGTAGAGACAAAAACTGCATAAGCTGCATGATTATTTCTCACACTTCAGATGCTTACCACCTTTATGATTTGCCATATCATGTATTTTAAAAAATACATTTTTTTCTTTTTTTAGATGGAGTCTCATTCTGTCACCCAGGCTGCAGTGCAGTGGTGTGATCTCAGCTCACTGCAACCTCCTGGGTTCAAGTGACTCTCCGGCCTCTGCCTCCCGAGTAGCTGAGATTACAGGCACCCATCACAATACCTGGCAAATTTTTGTATTTAAAAATACAGCCAGGCTCGGTGGCTCACGCCTGTAATCCCAGCACTTTGGGAGGCCAAGGCTGGCGGATCACCTGAGGTC